>NC_000001.11:52584138-52735653 GCF_000001405.40 Homo sapiens
AGGGCCCAGAGAAGGCAGTGGTAATGGTCATGGCAGCAACCTCTCCAGTCTGGTTTGGTTGTGTGATTTGGGTTGTGGGCTGGGTACTCACTGCCTTGCCTCTCTGGTTCCAGCCTGTTTTCCAAGGCTTCCCTGTGATTCTGTGAAATCTTCAGTCCCCTTTGAGTATATTTTTCTGCTGAAATCCATAAGAGTCCATTTCTGTTGCTTACTACTTAGAGCATTGTTATAGGATGAATTGGGTCCAACCCCATTTCAAAATTTGTATGTTGAAGCCTTAAGCCCCAGTACCTCCAAATGTGACAGTATTTGGAGAAAGTGCCTTTGAAGGGATGATTAAGTTAAAAAGAAGCTTTTAGGGTGGGTCCTAATCCAATCTGACTGGTGTGCTTATAAGAAGAGGAAATTTGGACACATGAGGAGACGCTATGGGGTATACATGTGTAGAGGGACGACCATATGAAGAAGCATGGAGAGGAAGGTCACCTGCAAGCCTAAGAGAGAGGCCTCAGAAGAAACCAAAGCTGCCAACACCTTGGTCTTGGACTTCCAGCCTCTAGAACTGTGAGGAAATTAATATATGTTGTTGAAACCACACAGTCTATGGTATTTTGCTATGGCAGCCCTAGAAAACTAATACAAACCCTGACGACATTTAATGATTGATTCAATGGATGAATAAATTATTTCCTGGTCAGTCACAAAGCAGGCTTTGGAATAAGATTACAATATGCAAATAGGGTGAGACAAGAAGGAAGAGTCAAGGTGTGAAGCCAAGCAGGACCCTAGGAAAGCGTGAACTTGGAGGTGCAAAGCAGAAGGTAAGACTGGAAGCCTAGGGGAATTCCTTAACACCAGTGAAAGTATTTATATGGACCCCAAGACTGAGAGTCTTGGAATGAATACGTAGGCTATAACAGAGAGATCCAGGACTTCAGCAGCAGAGATCTGGCTTCAAAATCTCACCCCATCACTTAATGCATAAATGGGCAAATTAGCCTTTCTGGACCTCCGTATTCTAATCTGTAAAACGAAAATGAAAAATAATACCTATTTCATGGAGTTGTTAGGATTAAATTAAGTAAGAAAGATGCCTAACATCTAATAAATGTTGAAATCCTTTCTTATTTTTCCATTGGGCTGGGGGAAGACAGAAGAAGTGGAAACCTAGTGAGGAGAAGACTTAAGAACTTCTTGGGCCAATGCACAGTGTTCAAAGAGTGTGATGAGTGTAGACACACTCTGGATACATGGTTTAGGTGACAGAAGCCAGAGTCTAGGCAGTAAGTGACAGTAATAAGAGTCTGGGACAGTGCAGTGGCTCATGCCTGTAATCCCAGCACTTTGGGAGGCCAAGACAGGAGGAATACTTGAGTCCATGAGTCTGAGACCAGTCTGGGCAACATAGCAAGACCCCATCTCTATTATTTTTTAAAAATATAGAATGAAAAAAAAAGTCTGATGTGGAGAAACATTGTGGTTCTGGGTTTTCTGTCTGCTCATGGCCATATGCCAGCTGGTTGCATAAGGAGCAGGATCCAGCACCACTCCCTACCTGGGTTAGGATTAGTAAGACTTATACAGGCTGATGACCATGGGCAGGTGTATTTAGCAGGAGAATTTCAGCTAAAGACCACTTGTGCAAACTGAACCGGGGTCACACCTGGTCTATCCCAAGCCAGTCTAATTATTGGCCCTGCCTGCTATTATAAATGAAGCTTTCTGCCCCCATGTTGGCCAGGATTGTCTAAAAAACTGGGCAGAGCCGAGCCTTTGGTTCAAGGGTAGAGCAGTAATAATGGTTAAAACTTACTAGCAATTACTATATGCCAGGATTTCATATACCTTCTTTCCCCACCTCATCATAACCCTTGGAGGTGAGAACTGTTATTTCCCCCAAAATTTTTTTTCAGAAAAGGAAATTGAGTTCCAGAGAGGTTAAGAAACTTGTCCAGAGCTATGTAGTTAATCAGTGGTAGGGCTAAGAGTTTGATAAATCCCAAAGCTTGCCAGCTGAAGAAAAGAAGAGGTTTTAATTGTTGACAATGTAAATAAATTTCTAAAAAGGAATTTTCTAATATCACGTCAGATTCCTTACAAGCACAGTATACCTCCTAGCATCTCAATATGGGGCCCAGCTTCAGACCTTTGATACTTCTACCAGAAACCCATATAACAGAGGGCAGCGCTATGGAATATTTTCCACAGGAAACATCTGCCCAAATATTTCAGAGGCTGCAAAGTGTCCCAAGAGGGAGGGGGGGAAAACTGAGACCAGTCACAAGGATAGTGATAAGTCCAGGTACCAGGTGAACTGAAATGGAGAGAAAACGCAGGCTTCCTGCTTTCCGCTCCCTCTGGAAGCATGCTCTGGTAAAATAAACTCTTTCCAAGACTCGGGTTCCCAGGTTAGTGATCTGGTTTTCTTCTCGTAGGAAGTGAGCTGTCTCTCAATCAGAAGGTGGGGGAAGGGAAAATTATTGCCAATTACTCCAAATAAGTAAGCAGGAAGATTCAGACATTTCATGTCTTTACAGTTAAGAGACCTCCACTTTATTCTAAGAGTCAGTCACAGCCCGGCCACAGGATAGACATTCTTTGAGTGTTTATAGGAGAATCAATTTCAAAAGATTTTTTAGGCTGGGTGCAGTGGCTCACGCCTGTAATCCCAGCACTTTGGGAGGCCGAGGCGGGTGGATCACCGGAGGTCAGGAGTTGGAGACCCACATGGTGAAATCCTGTCTCTACTAAAAATTCAAAAATTAGCCAGGTGTGGTAGCACAGGCCTATAGTCCCAGCTACTCGGGAGGCTGAGGCAGGAGAATCACTGGAACCAGGGGGCAGAGTTGCAGTGAGCTGAGATTGCGCCATAGCACTCCAGCCTGGGCGACAGAGTGAAACTGTTGTCTCAAAAAAAAAAAAAAACAACAACAACAACAACAACAACAAACAAAAAGAAAATTGCTACCAGGAAACAATAAAACAATATATATATTTTTAAATGAATGTCTTTGAGTGGAAATAGAGTCTGCAGTCGTCCTGAATGTACTGTTCAGACTCATTGTTCCTTATATTTCAACTTCACATGCGCTTAATGAGAACTGCCCCCCATGTACCAGGCATTGAGGAGCCAAGGGTATGAATCTATCCTGATCCTTGCCCTTCAAGGGCTTCCAGTCGGGGGATAAAATAGACTGGTACTCACAGATGGTACAAGGGAGTGAATAAAAGAATGGGGAAAGTAAGGTCTAAGGGGGAGTGAGCACACAACACCCAGTTAGAGGGCTTTTTTGTTTTTGTTTTTGTTTTGAGACAGTGTCTCCCTCTATCACCCAAGCTGGAGTGCAGTGGCGCTATCTCAGCTCACTGCAACCTCAGCCTCCTGGATTCAAGCAATTCTCCCCCCTCAGCCCTCCGAGTACCTGGGACTACAGGCCCCACCATGACACCTGGCTAATTTTTTGTATTTTTAGTAGAGATGGGGTTTCACCGTATTAGCCAGGAGGGTCTTGATCTCCTGACCTCGTGATCCGCCTGCCCGCCTCAGCCTCCCAAAGTGCTGGGATTACAGGTGTGAGCCACTGCCGCAGATCTTTGCAGCGAGTGTTACAGCTCATAAAGGTAGTGCGGACCCAAAGAGTGAGCAGCAGCAAGATTTATTATGAAGAGTGAAAGAACAAACTTTCCACACTGTAGAAGGGGACCAGAGCCGGTTACCGCTGCTTGCTTGGCTGGCCAGCTTTTATTCCCCCGCCCCGCCCACGTCCTGCTGATTTGTCCATTTTACAGAGTAAAATGAGCCTTTGAGCAACTCATTCTTCAGTGGAGGAGAAAGACACAGAAATAGTTTGTTCATTTATTCAGTTTTCCAACAATATTTATTTATTTATTTATTTAGACAGGGTCTTGCTCTGTCACCCAGGCTGGAGTGCAGTGGCACATTCATAGCTCATAGAAGCCTTGAAATCCTGGGCCCAAGCAATCCCCCTGCCTTAGCCTCCTCAGCAGCTTGGACTACAGCTGGGCACCACCACACCTAGCCAAGTTTTAAAATTTTTTGTAGGGATGGGGTCTTGCTATGTTGCCCAGGTTGGTCTCAAACTCCTGGCCTCAAGCAGTTCTCCCCACTTGGCCTCTCAAAGTGCTGGGATTCCAGGTGTGAGCCACTGCATCCAGCCTCAACAATATTTATTAGGTGCCCACTATTCACTAGTTGCTGTTGCAAAGCAGAATCAGACATAGTTCCCTGTCTTCAGGAACTTATAGTCTTTAGAAGGCAGATAAATATAAACAAAATATTACAACCCAGATAAATGATAATATAATGTAATAAATCCTGTCTAAGAAAAGACATTGTAAGGCTTCAGGGAACAGGAGAGGATAGAAGTCTCCCTGGGACATGGCACCCATGTGGAGCCATGGGGAATGGCTCCACAAAGAAGGCTTATGTTTCAGTGGAGACTTAAAGAATGTGTAAAAATTTGCCATGAGAAGCTTCTTTTGCTTGTCCAAATGTACCATGCTGTCTTGCCTCTGAGCCTTTACTCGTGTTGTTCCTCTCTCTAGACCAGTTCCCTCTTCCCCTTTCCTGACCTGAGTAAAACCACACATCTTTCTAGTATCAGCTGGAGTGACACTTCCTCCTGGAAGCCTTCTTTCACATGCCCTTTTCCCATTCTACATGCAGATTACAGACATAATATCATGGCTTTCCATAGAACTGTGTATGTATGCAAAAGTTGGAGGGGGATAGAGTTGTTGTTCATTATATGAAAAGAAATAACTTCATTGTGGTTGAAGCATAGGGTACATGGCTCACAATAAATATTTGTGGAATAAATGAATGAATGGATGAATACCTGAAAGAACTGTAATTTTGAGGCAGAAGAATAGGACCTGGAGGCAGGGAATCTAAGGCAGATTCATGCTGACTTCCTAGAACCGAATCAAAAGGAAAACTCCAACTTTCCACACCTAAGTAACAAAAGGACTGGAGGCTACTCCCTTTGCAAACCCCCCACCTTTTTTTCTTTGTGGCAGTTGGAAAATTGAAAGTATTTCTGCAACCAATCAGACGTTTACATAGGAGCGTAATTCGTAGCTTCACTTCAGCCTCTGATTGGTTGCTTACAAAGCAACCAATCAGACTAATTTTGGGCCAAGTATTTGATAGAAGTGTTAATTTTGTAACTTCACTTCAGCCTCTGACTGGTTGCTTTTCACAATCAATCAGACTGATTGCTGGCCACTACTTCATTTACATAGGGTGTACACCAAGTAACCCAAGGGAAACCTCTAGAGGGTATTTAAACCCCAGAAAATTCTGTAAAGGGGATTTTGAGCCCCTGTGCTTGGGCCTGCTCCCACCCCTTGGAGTGTACGTTGATTTTCAATAAATCTCTGCTTTTGTTGTTTCATTCTTTCCTTGCTTTGTTTGTGTGGTTTGTCCAATTCTTTGTTCAAGACACCAAGAACCTGGATACCTTCAACTGGTAACATTTTCACCCATGAAAGTAGGCTTCAACCAGATTATTAAATCTCTCCTAAACCCACATCACATGCCATTTGAACTGCCTCTATCACATTCCCCTGTCTCTACCTGGCTGCCTCCTAGTCGTTGTTCAAAATATCCCCTTGTCCTGGAATCCTTTTCTGACAGCCTTCCTTTCTTCCTATAGTTTGGGTCAAGTGCTTACTGATCTGTTGTGCCTTTTGGGGATCAGTGAGGTCAGGCAGAGAGGCTCTGGGGTTCTAGTATTGCTGCTCTATGGATCAAAGCCCACCAATCCCAAATTTCAGATACCAAGTTGGAGAGAACCTTCAAGGTTATCCTTTCTCCCACGGGAAACTGTCCTCCTGGCCTCCGGGCTCTTGTGATTGCAGCACCTACTCCATGGAAAGCTTTGCTGGGGAGAGCAGCAAGGTGACCACAGTAGAGTCCAGCTTGGATCTCTCCACCAGTGGGCACCTCAAATTCAACTTTTCCAAAATCAAAATAGTGGAAAGAGCTCAGACAAACCTGCGTTTGATTCTGGACTTTACTTGTTTTCTGGACTTTTGGCAAGTTATTTCAACTCTCTAAACCTTGGTTTCTTCCATGACAGCCAGGAGGTTTTGGAATAGGGGAGTGCAGGGATCTGATCCTGTTTTAAAACAATCCTTCTTGCAGCTGTGGGGGGAGGGGACCGGGGGGAAGGGATGGGCTGGAAAGGAGGAACCAGAGGCTGCTGAATAGAAGTGTTTCCAATTACCATCAGGCTGGCCTTAGCAGCACACTCTCCACTGTGACCCCAGAGCCAACCTCATGCTGTTGCCTAGCAACTCACCTGCATCACCCAGGGATCTGAAGCTGGGGCCCCACCGAGGATGGGGAAACGACCAGTTAATTACAAAGGCTCGGGGGAATCATACATCAGTTCATTCCTCAAATTCTCACTGCGCTCCAACCAAGTACCAGGCCCCATACTAGATACCGGGGACTTAGAGATGAATAAAACCCTACCTCATTCCTCAAAGAACTCACAGCATAGCAGGATGGACAGATTTCTTCATTCATCCAAGAAATATGTATTGAGTGCCCATCAATAGTACAATGGTTAAACAAGTTGTAGCATATTTGCACAATTTAATAGCATACATATGGCATGAGAATGAACAATCTACAATTACACGCAAAAATATGGAATATTGATGAGTGAAACATATGATAAGTGAAAGAAGCCAAACAGAAAAGAGTACATTCTTATGATTCTACTTAGATAAAATAAAAAACAGCCAAACTAATCTATGCTTTCAGAAATCAGGATTGGGGGCTTGGGAAGTAGTGACTGGAAGTAGCATAAGGAGGCCTTCTGGAGTCCTGGAAATACTATAAATCTGGGGGCAGGCCAGGCATAGTGGCTTACGCCTGTAATCCCACACTTTGGGAGGCCAAGGCAGGTGGATTTGCTGGAGCCCAGGAGTTCGAGACCAACCTGGGCAACATGGCAAAACCCTGTCTCCACAAAATATACAAAAATTAGCCGGGTGTGGGGGCACGCACCTGTAGTCCCAGTGACTGGGGAGTTGGGGGGCTGAGGAGGGAGGATCACTTGAACCCAGGAGGTTGAGGATGCAGTGAGACATGATCACACCACTGCACCACAACCTGGATGTCAAAGTGAGATCCTGTCCGCACCCGCCCAAAAAAAAAATCTGAATGCATGTTATATGGTGTGTTCACTTTGCAAAGTTTATCAAGGCCATATGCTTGCAATATCTTAACTTTGCTGTATGTATATTATATGTCAATAAGAAGTTTTTTAAAAAAAATTTTTGAATACCTATCACGTGCCAAATTCTGCATATTAGGTAAACAGAAATTTACAACACTGCATGATAAATACACAGGGGTGTGGGGGCACAAAGAAAGGACTTCTTATCAGGGCCAGGCATGGTGGCTCACGCCTGTAATCCCAGCACTTTGGGAGGCCGAGGCGGGCAGATCACCTGAGGTCAGGAGTTCGAGACCAGCCTGGCCAACATGGTGAAACCCCATCTCTACTAAAAATACAAAAAAAAAAAAAAAAAAAATTAGCCAGGTGTGGTGGCATGTGCCTGTTAGTCCCAGCTACTCGGGAAGGCTGAGGCAGGAGAATCGCTTGAACCCGGGAGGTAGAGGTTGCAGTGAGCCGAGATCATGCCACTGCACTCCAGCTAGGGTGACAAAGGGACGCTCTGTCTCAAAGAAAAAAAAAAAAAGGTGTTCCAGGAGTCCAGGTAAGAGAAGCCAAGGCCCAAAGGAGGGTAGAGGCCAAAGAGAGGAGGAAGGGATTTTTAGAAATCAATTTCAGAACTTACCCGCTTTCCTTTTATACATAATAATAGAAAAAAATCCATGAGACACATGGCTTATATTATTTTTCAGCTTCAGGTACAGAGAATTGAGGTAAACATATTTCTCAATTCATAGCACACTGTATCCTTTGGCCTCAAAGGCCTCTTTCTTTTTTTTATTTACCCTCCTCCCACCTTTTTTTTTTTTTTTTTTTATGAGATGGAGTTTCGCTCTTGTTGCCCAGGCTGGAGTGCAATAGCACGATCTCTGCTCACCACAACCTCCACCTCCCAGGTTCAAGTGATTCTCCTGCCTCAGCCTCCCGAGTAGGTGGGATTACAGGCATGTGCCGCCATGCCTGGCTAATTTTGTATTTTTAGTAGAGATGGGGTTTCTCCATGTTGGTCAGGCTGGTCTTGAACTCCCGACCTCAAGTGATTCTCCTGCCTTGGCCTCCCAAAGCACTAGGATTATAGGCATGAGCCACTGCACTGGGCCCAACTTATTGCCTTTCATTCCCTTTCCTCTCCCTATCCCTACAGACAACTCTTCTAATGTGTTTATTGTGTAGCCATTTATGTTGTTCTTGCAAAATATGCATTTTCATTCTGTGTGCACATATTTTACATTTATATAAATGGTACCAGGTTATATATATCATTCTGTATTTTACTTTTGCATACCACACTACATTTTTTCAATCTATCCCTGCTGCTATGAGTATCTTTAGTTTGTTGCTTCTAACTGTTCCCAGGACTACAGAATTGGATTGACAATACAATGCTACTATTATATTTGGCAATCCAAAGTGCTCTACCCACAGAGTGGGGAGATTTCAGCTATAACCCCTCTCTCTCTTTCGGGTTTGAACTTGGGCAAGTCCCTTCCCCTATTTGGGTCTCAGCTTCCCCATTTGTAAAATCAGAGGTGTCTTCTACTTCTAACCTTCCATGCAACCTCCCTTATTTTACATACAGGAAAATCTGGTCCAGAGAGTGGGAGTGACTTGATCAAGGTCACGCAACAGTTATCAACAGTTCAATTCAATTTAGCCCACATTTACTGAGCGCCAGGCATGGTGCAAAATACTTTAGATACTTAAATAACTAAGGCCTGCTGAGTCCCTCCCCGCTAGGGCCTCTAAACAGAGCTGTGTTAATTTTCCAAGAGCAGGTGCAGAGATAGCTTGTGGGCACCGGTCAAATGCAGTAAAGATATTAATAGGATGTAGCCTTAGATAGAATCTAAGACAGCACCTCCACCACTCTAATCAGGCCCCAGAATATTCCTGGCCTCAAGAAATGAAGTTGGGTGCACTGCTTCCTATTTGTAAAAGCTTATTTATTGCCATAGCACTTACCAATAATAACTGATCTAATATAGTAAGATAAATCATGCTTGTCTAACTGCGTGCATAATATTACACAGCAGTAACTACGGCATGAATATAATTTTATATTCTACTTGTTACAAATGTTTGTTGTCGCACAACATTAACGGCTACTGTTGATTATTTACTCTGTACTGGACATCAAGCACTTTACATATGATAGCTCATCTAATCTTCATTACAATGCCATGGGGTAGAAGGTACTATTATTATCCCCATTTCAAAGATAACAAAACACAAGCATAGTTATATTATTTGTCCTAGGTCAGTGAATTTCAAGCATTTTGAATGAAACCCATGGGAGAAGTATAGTTTACATTGCATCCTGGATTACACATGTGTGTTTCACAATACTACACTTACCCTTACTGTATAGGACATTCTCTGACTTTTTCTATTCAATTTTTTTTCCATGCTAGTCTGAGCTAGTAAGTTGATTCTGTAACTTACTAATGGGTTGCAACTCTCAGTTTGAAAAACAATGCCCTAGATGAGATACATACCACAATCATAACAAAATTACACAAAAATTAAAGTCGTAATACTCTTTAATGTGAACTTTCATGTCCTGAGCATCTGCCCTGTACAAGGTCCCATGCTGCAGGTTAGTGACAGGTTTGAATCAAACACGGTCCTGCCCTCAAAGAGCTACAAATTCCTCAAGGTAACATACAAGTAGATAGGCAATGACATCACAACAGTGATTGTCAATCCTGACTGCACCTTAAAATCAGCTGGGGTATTTTTAAAATACATAGTGCTGGGACCCTATCCCCAGACTTCCTGATTCAGTTGGTCTAGGGTGGAGCCTGGACATTAGTGTTTTTTAAAAGCTCCCCAGGTGATTCTAAGGTGCAGCCAGTATTGTGGATCATTGCAATACAGCATGATAAGTGCTACATTACATGAAAGCACAAATTGGGCTCCATGGCTGATGCCTGTAATCTAATCTCAGTTATTTAGGAGGCCGAGATAGGCCAGGAGTTCAAGACCAGCCTGGACAACATAGTGAGACCCCCACCCCCAACCTCTGAAAATATAGAAAAAAAATTAGCTGGGTGTGGTAGCCCATTCCTGTAGTTCCAGCTACTCGGGAAGCTGTAGCAGGAAGATTGCTTGAGCCCAGGAGTTGATGGCAGCAGTGAGCTATGATCACACTACTGCACTACAGCCTGGGTGACAGAGTGAAACGCCGTCTCTAAAAAATAAAAAAACAAGAAAAGGAAAGCATAGAATGGGGGCAACTACCCACCTAAATAAAAGTGTTGAGAAAAGCCTCAGAGAAAACCTGTTTTCTGAGTTGGGTTTGTGTGCTGCACACCTTCTGTCTGACTCTTTGGATCCACTGTCCACCCCCATTGTCTTCTTGGTACACTGAACCTGTACAGCTGACATTGATGGGCTCCTTTGCTCCCTGGCTTCCACTCAGGTACCGGCCAATATCCCCGAAGGAGACTGGTGAGAAAGAGGAGATGAATTAACTCCCTGGCTCCTTCCCTGTAAGTTTACCTTGGACTGGCTGTGATTCTCCTTTGAAATTAACAGCCTCAGGGAGGCTGAGGCACAAAAATCACTTGAACCCAGGAGGCGGAGTTGCAGTGAGCTGAGCTCGCGCCACTGCACTCCAGCCTGGGTGACGAAGACTCTGTCTCAAAAAAACAAACAAACAAACAAGGGAACTGCCCCTTTCAAGATGGCTTGGTGTATAGGTGTATAGGACTCTTTTTCCAGCTTCCATAATCTCTCCTCCCTCTTCCCATCCATTCAGGTCAAGAGATGTTAACAGTTCAGATAGGTTCCTGAACGATCCCTGTCTTCTCCTACACCCCACCCACACAATGGAAATTAGTCCCTGTGTAAATGAGCCTTCCTCAAATTCCCCTAATCTGAGTATCTCATCTGTTTCCTATTGAGGCCCCGATTAATAAAACCTGGAAGCCCTATAGGAACTTGCTGTAAGCACAAGGACGGGAAAACAATACAGGCAGGGGGAGCAGATGAGGAATGGCAAAGAGGCAAGGAAATGTGATTTTGTCTGTTTAATTCCCTTTATTGGTTGAAGGATAAATTGCTAAATCCCATGTTCAGGTCTCAGTCCTAATCTTCCTAGATTTATCAACAGCATTTTACCAGTTAATCCCTCTCTTCATTCTGGAACAAATCTGTCACTTAGCTTCCATGACATCGCACTCTTTTAGGTTTTTGGTCCTTCCTGTGGCTACTCTTTTTCAGTGTCTTTTTCTGGCTCCCTCATGTCTTCATCTCCAGCTGAATGCTGGAGTCCCAAGGGCTGTCCTTGGTTCTCTTTTCTCTCTATTCCAACTCACCATCATCATCCAGTACCATGGTTTTAAATATTCTGTGTGCTGTCCACTCCCAAATTTATTTATTTATTTATTTATTTTTGAGACAGAGTCTCACTCTGTCACCCAGGCTGGAGTGCAATAGCACGATCTCAGCTCACTGCAACCTCCGCCTCTCAGGCTCAAGTGATTCTTCTGCCTCAGCCTCTTGAGTAGCTGGGATTACAGGTGCCTGCCACCACGCCCTGCTAATTTTTGTATTTTTTAGTAGAGACAGTGTTTCGCCATGTTGGCCAGGCTGGTCTCAAACTCCTGACCTCAGATGATCCACCTGCCTCAGCCTCCCAAAGTGCTGGGATTACAGGTGTGAGCCACCGTGCCCGGCCCACTCCCAAATTTATATCTTGCCTTAGATCTCTTCCAATTCCTGACTCATATATCCAACCGTATCAGAGATAGGAATGGTGTCTGGAACCAGCTCCTAGAGTCAATTGTTATGTTTCCAGGACTTTTGCCAGCCTCTTGCTAACCACAGCCATTCCTAAAAATTAAATTACATTTTTAAAATTAAAGAAATTATGTTAAAAAGAAAGGTAATATTAAAAACTTATCACTTTCTAATTGTTTTACTCTATTTTATGATTTTCTGTGCTCTCAAGTTTATTGATGTCTATTCTATCTGTATTGTGGAAATACTGCATAATGGTATGCTATTCTCACATCTCTTCCTAACTCCACATTCAGTAAAATCATGTTGGAAGCTCAAAATCAACCAGGGTGGGAGTATTACACCACACATTAGCAAATGTGGCTCTCAGGGGTTGATTTATTGTTTTGTTTATTGCCTAGACTTAAGAAAGTGATGGAAAAAATGTTAATAATACAGATTAAATTGAGAGTATATTATGTCTATAGCCATTAGTCTGTGAATAACACAAAAATTAGTGTAAATATTCTTCTGGTATTGGAAACTACTCTCAGATGCCACAAAGAAAGCCTTCGTGTTATTGGCTTTATCCTTGTTCTGGCATATATCTCTACTGTTTCACTTTCATCTTACTATTAATGGAAATAAAAATATCAACCAACATTAATCTTGGAAGTATACATGTTCAGCAATTGCAACCATTAGTTGGCTATAGATATAAGAGTCTGGCCAACATCAATTAAAACGTTCTGTGGGAATAAAGTGGCCATATGGAATTTACAATAAGAAGTACTATATATTTTATTATTTGTGAATTGTGTGCTATGCATCATTTATATCAGTAAACCTTATAATAAACTTATTATACACACACACACACACACACACACACACACACGCACCTTTTTCTCCTGGAAAGCCAATTTGTAAATGTTTACTACTGCTAATAGGCAACTCAAACTTAACATGTCCAAAACTGAGCTCTTGATTTTCCATCCTGAACCAGTTCCCCCCACAAGCATCCTCATCCCAATTAATGGCAACTCCATCTTTCCAATTGCTCTGGCCAAAAACCTTAAAGTCATCTGTGACTCTTGTCTTTCTCTCATTCCCTATATTCCACCTGTCAGGAAATACTTTTGCCTCTACTTTCTTTCTTTATTTTTATTTATTTATTTATTTATTTATTTTTGAGACAGGGTCTCACTCTGTTGCCCAGGCTGGAGTGCAGTGGCATGATCTTGGCTCACTGCAACCTCCGCCACCCAGGTTCAAGCGATTCTCCTGCCTCAGCCTCTCGAGTAGCTGGGATTACAGGCATGTGCCACCATGACCAGAATCTTTTTGTATGTTTAGTAGAGATAGGGTTTCGCCATGTTGGCCAGGGTGGTCTCAAACTCCTGACCTCAGGTGATCCGCCCACCTCGGTCTCCCAAAGTGCTGGGATTACAAGCGTGAGCCACTGCGCCCTACCTTTATTTTTATTTTTAGTGACAGGGTCTCACTCTGTCTCCCAGGATGGAGTGCAGTGAAGTAATCATGCTCACTGCAGCCTCAAATTCCTAGGCTCAAGTGACTCTCCTGCCTCAGCCTCCCAAGTAGCTAGGACTGCAGGTGCACACTACCGTGCCAGGCTACTTTTTTTTTTTTTTTTTGTAGAAACAGGGTCTCACTATATTGCCTAGGCTGGTCTTGAACTCCTAGCATCAAGAGATTCTTGTTGGGATTACAGGCATGAGCCACCACACCCAGCCTCTGCTTTCAAAATATATTCAGAATCTACTTCTCACCACCTCCACTGCCCACATGTCCCCTTATGAGGATTACTGCAATAGCCTCCTGACTACTCTTCTCATTTCAGTACTGCAGTCAGAATGATTCTGGTAAAACATAAATTAGAAATGTCCATTCCCTGATTAAAACCCTTAAGTGGCCTCCCATCCCATTCAGAATCAAAGCCACACTCTTCACAATGGCTTGTAAGATGCTACAGTAGCTGTGTACCCATCCCTTACCTCTCTGATGTCATCTTCTGTTACTCTTCCCCTTGCTCACTCTGCTCCAGCCACACTAGACTCTTTGCTGTTCAGCAAACACATCGTGCCTGCTCCTGCCTCCAGGCCCTTGTACTTGCTGCTTCCTCTACCGAGACTGCTCTTCTACTTTCCTCTCTGACATTCTTTAGGTCTTTGCCCAAATACCATTTTCTCAGTGAGGCTTCCTGATCATTCAAATTAAAGTTACAATCCCTCCTTACTCTATACCATACTACTCTACCCTCTCCCCCGCTTAATGCCATGTAAAGTACTACATGTTGGCCGGTTGCGGTGGCTCACGTCTGTAATCCCAGCAGTTTGGGAGGCCGAGGCAGAAGGATCACTTGAGGCCAGGAGTTTGAGACCAGCCTAGCCAATATGATGAAACCCCGTCTCTACTAAAAATACCAAAAGAATTTAGCTGTGCGTGGTGGTGGCCGCCTGTAATCCCAGGTACTCAGAAGGCGGAGGCACAGAATCACTTGAACCCGGGAGGCAGAGGTTGCAGTGAGCTGAGATTGTGCCACTGCACTCCAGCCTGAGCGACAGAGTGAGATGCCGTCTCAAAAAAAAAAAAGTAAAGTACTGTAGGTTTTGTATGACTAGTTTTAGTTTTTATTCTTTCTCTCTCCCAACAGGCAAGGAAGAAGAAAGAAGCTCCCCCTGTACAGAGACAGAGGGAGGGGGTGATCCAAAGCCGAGAGAGGAAACCGCGAGTACAGCAGAAACCAGCCAGTTACATGAGGAGGCTGGAATAGGCGGTGTCTGATTTGCATAGGGCTCAGGGGATTGGTTTGACTAATTCATTCCTTTTTATGGCTGAGTAGTATTCCATCGTATGGAGTATGCCACAGTTTCTTTATCCACTCGTTGATTGACGGGTATTTCAGTTGGTTCCACATTTTTGCAATTACAAATTGTGTTGCTATAAACATGCATGACCAAGTATCTTTTTCACATATGAGCTGGGTTTTGAAGCATAAATAGGAAAGGAGAAAAGTGCCCAGGAAAGAAAGTTACAGCTGAGAAATATTTAACTATTAACTTTTTTCCCCCTGTTTAGTAGAAATGCCCATCTATCTGGATTTTTTTTTTTTTTTTTGAGACGGAGTTTCACTCTTGTTGCCCAGGCTGGACTGCAATGGCATGATCTTGGCTCACCGCAACCGCCGCCTCCTGGGTTCAAGTGATTCTCCTGCCTCAGCCTCCTGAGTAGCTGGAATTACAGGCATGCACCACCACGCTCGGCTAATTTTGTATAAACATGTGAGCCACCTCGCCCGGCTCATCTATCTGGATTTTAACAGGAAATAGCTTGGCCAAACTTGCAACACTCCAAGTTATATGAAGTAGAATTTGAGAACTCCTGGTTACTGGGACACTCAAGAAGGGGCTGAGTGAAAGGGACAGGTGGCAGGAAGAGAGCCCAATGGTTCCAGAAGGCAGAGAGAGAAGAGACCATTTAATAGCTGTGGGACCCATCACAGGCTTAAGGCTCCCAAAAGAGATGGGGAAGAAGGAGCAGGATGGGCAGGGGCACCTTATGTATGCCTTGGCCCTTGCCTGGAGCGCCGTTTCCTCTGCTCTCCACCTCTCCTGATAATATTGCCTTCTCCTGAAGAGTGAGGCCACCTTGGTGGTGCAGAAAAATCCCATGGTCTACACCTGAAGGCCTGGGTTCGAGTCCTAGTAACTATATGATCTTGTGGCCAGCTTCAAAACCTTTGCTTGCCACACTCTAGAGAGTGACTTGGCACTCAAGGCCCTTCTCTATCCTGATGACCCTTCCAATCTCATCTGCCCCACACCCCTTCTCACCTCAAACAGCCAAGCACTTCTCTGACTCTGTGCTGTCATAGATACTGCTCTTTCAGTCTGACGTTGTTGCCCTGACCCTCCTAGAGAATTCCCATTCCTCTTTCAAGATATAACTCCAGTATCACCTCACACCTCCAGAAGGCCTTGCCTGGCTGCTCAGGCTAGGTAGCAACTGCCTCTGGGTCTCTAGGAGGTAGCCCTGGAGCTACGTCAACTCCAACATCTAGACCACATCTGCTCTTGCCCTTTCCTATCAACTCCACAGAACAGCCAGAAGGATTTTTTTTTTGAGATAGTGTCTGTGTCACCCAGGTTGGAGTGCAGTGGTATGATCATAGCTCACTGCAACCTTGAACTCCTGGGCTCAAGCAATCCTCCTGCCTCAGCCTCCTAAATAGCTAGAACCACAGGCACATGCTACCACACGAGGCTAATTTTTAATTTTTATTTTTTTAGATGGAGTCTCGCTCTATCACCCAGGCTGGAGTACAGTGGCACAATCTCTGCTCACTGCAACCTCTGCCTCCCGGGTTCAAGTGATTCTCCTGCCTCAGCCTCCCAAGTAGCTGGGACTACAGGCGTGTGCCACCACACCTGGCTAATTTTTTGTATTTTTAGTAGAGATGGGGTTTCACTGCATTAACCAGGATGGTCTCGTTCTCCTGACCTTGCGATCTGCCTGCCTAGGCCTCCCAAAGTGCTGGGATTACAGGCGTAAGCCATCGCGCCTGGCCTAATTTTTTAATTTTTTGAAGAGACAGTTCTTGCTAGGTTGCCCAGGCTGGTCTTGAACGCCTGGCCTCAAGCAATCCTCCAGTCTTGGCTTCCCAAAGTATTGGGATTACAGGTGTGAGCCACCGGGCCCTGTCGAAAGAGATCTTTCTACAACAAAAGACTCATTGTGATACCTCCCTGCTAAAAAGAACCTTCATTTCTTGGTTTAAAGACCACAGTCCCTACTGTGGCCTACTAGGCTCTGTGTGATCTCACTCCCTCCTGCCTCTCCACCTTTCCCTCTCATCCTTTGTCCTCTCTGTTCCAACCAAATGAGGCTTCTTTGTTACTCAATGCACCATGTTCCTTTCCCCCCAGGACCTTTGCACTTGTATGTTGCTTCATCCTGACCAATTTCTCCTCATTCTTCAGAGCTCAGCTCAAATCTCCCTTTTTCTGGAAAGCCCTCCATGGCCCTCCAGGCTAGTTTAGGTGGTACTCACCACAACAGTAATTTTAGAGCTATTTATAAATTATTTAATTCCTGTGTCTCCCTGGATAGAGATAATGCCCTCCTGTTCATCCCTGCCTAAGAATCACCTAAAGCAAAACTTGGCATAGAAAAGGTGCTCAGGAAGTTTTTGTTGATGACCACAGGAGTGCTTAGCCCTTACCACATTACATAAAATCTGCAGTTTACCTGGTTTCTCTCACACCAGTCTGTGAGTTTCCAGAAAAAACTCACAGCCTGTGAGTACAGGATCCAGCTCCATGTTTGACATTTCATGGGCTCAACAGGGGTTTTCTGAGCAGGGGGAGACATTGTGATGTGCTGCCCAGATCCCCCATCACTGAGGACTTAGGACAGACACCAGCTGCTAGGAGTGCTGTTAGCACAAAGCCTTTAATGTCAGCTTCTCCACAGACAGGGCCATCTTGGCCCTTGTTGCCCCACTTGCCAGGTGGCCCCACATCCAAGGACTGATAAAGGCAGGATGACCTGGCCATCTTAGCTCATCTGATGGGCTACTCTAGCTCTAGAGTCCCTGTCGAGTCAGCTAAAACTGTCTTGGGGCCTGCATGGAGCTCACTACTTTCCCCCTGTGCCACTCCTGTTCCCTCCCATCCTTCCCACGCCTGTTGATCCCAAGGGTGCTCCCTCATAAACATCCTGCACTCCAATCTCCATCTCAGAATCTGCTTCCAGGAACCTAACCTGCAACAGGCCCACGGTCCTCTCTTCTTCTCCCAGCCATCACTTTCAGGGAACATGCATTCATTCACCTGAAGTTTGCAGGCACCATTCAACTGTTAAAGTGTTTCGCATCCGTTTTTCTATTACTTCCATCCTATACCGACTAGCTCCACTTAACATGTGGAGAAACTGAGGTCGGAGTGGGGGCGTGACCAGGCCAGCCTAAGGCCGCTGCACTAATGAGAAGCTGAGCTCTCAGATTTTTGCCTCCCTGTCCCTGCCAAGTCGCTGTTTCCTGGGACAAGAGGGAGCCTCACTGAAACGAACTCCGGTCTCAGGGGACAGAATCCTGAAACCCTGGCTCTGGGGTCCGGGGCAGGGGTGCGCTGCCTCAGGACAGACGGTGAAACTGAGGTCCAGAGCCGGACATCCACCGCCTGCGGAGGGAACGAGAACGCGGCGCGTCCTGCCTTGCGGGCCGAGCGGCGCCAGAGCCGCCTCCTCCCGCCCCCCGCGCTAGATCCCCCCGCCCCGTCTTTGCCCTCGCGACGCCGCCACCTCCGGAACAAGCCATGGTGGCGGCGACGGTGGCAGCGGCGTGGCTGCTCCTGTGGGCTGCGGCCTGCGCGCAGCAGGAGCAGGACTTCTACGACTTCAAGGCGGTCAACATCCGGGGCAAACTGGTGTCGCTGGAGAAGTACCGCGGATCGGTGAGTGCGCGGGGTCTGGCGGCGCCGCTGGGCCCGGCCTCGCCCTGGCGGGGCCTGCTGGGGACGCCCCGCAGCCCGGTCCCCCGCGCGGTGTGGCTCCGAGGACGCTCCAGCCGCGCGGCCGCCAAACCCCGGCCCCCGCCCCGCTCGGCCGTGACCTCTGGCGCGGCGCCCCCATCCCGCGCCCGGCCCGGCCCGGCCCGCGGCTACGTGGCACGGCCTTGGCGCGGAGGAACCCGAAGCGCTCGCAGTCGGCGCCCACTTCGCTACCGGCACCTTTGGGCAGCGGGGTCCAGACCTTCGCCGGGAGGCCGGGCACCACTGCCCAGCCTTTGCCATTCACGGGTGAAAAAAGTAACCGTAGCATCGTGCGGCCTTTCCCTCTCCCGTCCTCATTTTCTGCATCTGGAACGGGGAGTGGCTGATTCGGAGTCCAGTGAAGAACACTGTGGAGATCAATGTGCAGGGCAGAGAGAGAGTTATTTCAGATGCACGGAGACCTCACACGGATCATCCCTGGGAGAGGGCACAAAGGCCCAGAGAGGGCAGGCATTCGCACAAGGTCACACTACACTAGAAAGACGGGGCCTGGAAGAGAACCCCACCGCCACATCCGGGGTCCTCTCTAGGCCAAGTCCTTAGATGGCAGCTCAGGGGCACACATAAGAGTCATCCAGGCTAATTGCCCCCTCATTACCAAGAGGGAATCTAAGCTCAGAGAAGACTTCGGAGAGGAAGGGTATCTGGGTTGAGTCTTTGAATACGAGTGGATTTTAGCAAGACTAAGAAGCAAACAGCAAGAAGGGGGTGGGGGGGCGCGGGGCCAGGAGTTCCAGCTGTTGTGCTTCAAAGAGTCTAAAGCTGGAGGCTACGAGTGGTGGAAGATGAGGCTGAAACGACTGGCAAGGGAGCAGGCGGGACCTTGAACACTACATTGAGAGGCCTGCATGTCACATTATGTGCAGTGAAGAACTCCCAGAGTGGACCTCTTCAGGATGGACCTGGGGACTGGTGTGAAATGGCTGGGGAGTTGAAATCTAATGAACAGGTGGGCCAGCGTCCAGTTTTGGATGAACCACACAAAAATAGATGTCAACATTTTTCTCCTGGGAGCAACACCATCTTTAGTGAAGACCAGTACTCTATAAGCCTTGAAATTTTCGATTATGCTGGGAGTCTTGGGGACAGTAATCCCTGCTTGATTGTCCCCCAGAGTGTCGTGAGTTTCAAATCAGATGAAGGCGTGGATGCACTTAGTAAACTGTAGAGTGCTTTGCACCTGTGTTTGGTGGATCCCAGCAGGAACTTCATTTAGAACTCTGGGCAAAGAACCAAGAACAGGGCCCGCTCCAATTCAGGCCTCCTGTTCTCTCTAGGGCAGCTCACCAGAGAGCCCCAGGTTTAGCGTCTGACCAGCTCTGCTACTTATTAATTCGTTGTTCATTATTGAACACCTACTGTATACTAACTAGATACTAGGTCAGGCCCTGGGGATACAGTGGTGAACAAAACAGATACATTTCCACTAAATGGAGCTTACATGGGGTAAGGAGAAGAAAGACAATAAACAAGGAACTGAGAAATGCACGAGGTAATTCCTAGTAGTAGTAAGTGCTAAGACAAAAATAGAACAAGGTCACACAGCTAGTAAGACAGTAAGAATTTGAACCCAGACAGTCCAGCTCCAGAGTCTATGCTCTTAGTTGCCAAGTTCAGCAGTAAACCAGGGAACAGGGAGTCCAGAAAAGCTGTAATTGGTGCTGAGTTAACCCAGGCTAGGCTTGCTGCTTGGGCAATATGCTCATTCCTTCACCTGCAAACATTTACTGGCTCCTACTACATGTCTGACACTGGGTCCAGCTCTGATGACATAGTCATGAGCAAGATTGACATGGTTGATGCCCTCAGGCTAATTGGGACCATAGTCATTTAGACCAGTATGGATGAATGGGTGACCACTTGGGAATGTGTGGGGTTATGTGTAGTGTGTGCCTTTGTGAATGGTTTACTTCTTCTGTGTACAAATCTGAGTCTGTGTCTGTGCTTGTATATGTACATATGTAAATTAACTGTGTGTACTTGGGTGTGTCTGTCTGTGTTTTGGTTTCTAAGGACCAAGCTTTTTGGTTTCAGGGATGGAACTAGAAGCCAGATTTTCCCCCTTCCAAAAGAGCGGGCAGACATGCAAGTTGTGAGTTAAAAATAAGCAAGCTTTGGCCGGACGCAGTGGCTCACGCCTGTAATCCCAGCACTTCAGGAGGCTGAGGCGGGTGGATCACAAGGTGAGGAGTTCGAGGCTAGCCTGGCCAACATGGTGAAACTCCGTCTGTACTTAAAAAATACAAAAATTAGCTGGGCATGGTGGCGTGTGCCTGTAATCCCAGCTACTCAGGAGGCTGAGGCAGGAGAATTGCTTGAACCCGGGAGGTGGAGGTTGCAGTGAGCCAAGATCGCGCCACTGCACTCCAGCCTTGGTAACAGAGCAAGACTCTGTCTTTAAAAAAAAAAAAAAAAAAAAAAAAGCTTTAATGTTCTCATTGCCCAGGGATCCAGCAGGGGGAAAAAAAGGAAGAACCCTAACTGAGGAAGGGAGTTAACAGTCCCAGTTTCTCACCATTCCAGGCACAGTATGGTGTATGCTGACCTCAAATTGAGGAGGTTGTTCTAATAGCCAGTGGCCCCAGGCATGGGTCCTTTCTCACCTGGTGGAGGTAGGGTACAGGAGGTACAGCTCAGTGGTTCAATCATCTAGCCCAGTAGTTCTCAACTAGGAGTGATTATTCCCTTTAGGGCACAATTGGCAATGTCTGGAGACATTGTTGATTGTCAAGACTGGGCATCTAGTGGGTAGAGGCCAGGGATGCTGCCAAACATCTGATAATAAATAAACAGGACATCCCCCCGACAACAAAGAATTATCTGACCCAAATGTCAATTATGGAGGATAGGGCTAGGCTGCCTAGGCACCGGCTAGGGTTTTAAATCCATTAATAATATATACCTAGAAGCTAAAAACATAGCATTTGAGCCAAAATTCTAATCAAAGTCTTATAATCAAGTTCCATTAGCCAGCTTTGTATTTATTGCCTAAAGGCTTTAATAAATTTAAGGATTAGTCTAATGATAAAAGAAAGTGGTAGGCTGGGCATGGTGGTTCATGACTGTAATCCTAGCACTTTGAGAGGCTTAGCTGGTAGGATTGCCTGAGGCTAAGAGTTTTTGAGTCCAGCCTGGACAACATGGCGAGAACTGTCTCTACCAAAAGTAAAAATTAAAAAATTAGCCAGGTGTGATGGCACGTGCCTGTAGTCCTAGCTATTTGAGAGGCTGAGGTGGGAGGATCACTTCAGCTCAGAAGTTTGAGACTGCAAACGGTTGGGGGGATGTCCTGTTATGATTATGCCATTGCTCCAGCAGCAACAACAACAAAAGTGGTGTTAGTTCTCTGGAGAGGAGGGGGACAAAAAGGTGATTGCCCTGGAGTTATGAGGGTTCTTTTCTCAAGAAAACCTGTGTCTATGTTCCCATGCAGGCGTTTGTGTTTGTGTGCACACTTACTCATTCATCTGAAACTTACTGAGACTTTTTCATATGCCAGGCCCAGAGATGAAGTGGACATAGCTCCTGCCCTCAGTAGGTTCACATTCTAGAAGGGAGACTGACACAGTGCAGAGTGGCGAGTGCTAGCTGACTGAGCCAAAAATTGAGCCCAGGTCTCCCTTTGTACCCCCTCTTATCAGTTCTCAGTATGTGCTCACCAGTATGTGTGCCCCAGTCTGTGGATGTGCTGTGTGTGTGGGCATGTGTGGTGTTTGCTAACATGTTTGTATCGTGGTGCATGTGCATACCTATTTATGTATGTTGTATACTTATGTTCACAGATGTTCATGTATGTGTGCACACATCTGTAAGCTCCTGAATGTTTGATTTCATATGTGCCTGTCTGTGTGCATGTGTTTGTGTATGTGTGAGAGCACTGGACACACATTTACATATGTGTACACAGTGTTCTTGTATGTGTGAGGCAGTATTAACTGTTGAGGGAGTCACATATGTGGATGTGTCAGGGCATGTACAGGTTCATGCCTCTTCACTGGCTTGTCTGGGCTTTGTTTTGTTTTGTTTCTGTCATACAGGTGTCCCTGGTGGTGAATGTGGCCAGCGAGTGCGGCTTCACAGACCAGCACTACCGAGCCCTGCAGCAGCTGCAGCGAGACCTGGGCCCCCACCACTTTAACGTGCTCGCCTTCCCCTGCAACCAGTTTGGCCAACAGGAGCCTGACAGCAACAAGGAGATTGAGAGCTTTGCCCGCCGCACCTACAGTGTCTCATTCCCCATGTTTAGCAAGATTGCAGTCACCGGTACTGGTGCCCATCCTGCCTTCAAGTACCTGGCCCGTAAGTCCTGGTCTCTTCATCCCCTCACACCTCCCTTAGCTGGCTGAGGCCATGGCTCCCTGGGCAGCAGAAGCCACTGGCTGGTTGGGTGACCTGGGGCCCCTTCCCCTTCCTGATCATCTCAGGTGGACTGATGCTTTGTTCCAGCACTAATCTTTGAGGAGAGTGGAGGCAGGTAGAAGCTGAGGGGTATTCCTGCCTAAGAATATCTCCATACCTGCTGCCTCTCACTTGTCCCTCAGAAGTCACTCTTTTGGACTTTTCTGGGATCCTGTTTTCACATTCAGGGGCTCCTAGAAGGAGACATTTAAGTCAGTGTGAACTAGATGAGTTTATGGACATATGATGGAGAAACCAAGGCATAGACAGGGGAGGCCACCTGCTTGGAGAAAGCTGACCAAGATAGTAGACAGGCATCTTCACCCTGAGTCAGTGGCGGAGTCTGTAGGCCATGGAGGGAGACCTTCTAAGCTAAAATACCAGATCTTAGTATTTGAGAACAAGATCCCTTCTCCAGCTGCAGAAGCCTCAGAGCCACAGAATGGGCTCATGGGCTAAGCTTGCCATTCTGACCATTTCTTCCCTCAGGCCTTCTCCTCTGGAGGCCCCATTTTTGCCTTTTCTGATTCCGTGCTTCTGGTGGCCTTTGTATCCCTTGCCACCACCCCACCCTGCAACCCATTCACCTGGAGGAGTAAATGAGAAGCAAGAGTGCAGCAAACAAAAGGTCCCTTACTGCGGCAGGTTTGTGTTTTGCTCTGTGGCTCAGTCCTAATGTTGATTTTTTTCTCTGTGTTCTTTTATTAGTTCCTTCCCAGTTCTCACAGTTATAGATCAAACCCGGCCTTGCTTTTAGAAGCACCTGGGGAGCTCTTAAAAATGCACAAGGCTGAGACCTACTGAAGCAGGGCCCAAGAATCTTTATTTTAAGCACTCCCCTGACCCCCAGTGATTCTGATGAAACCAGTCCATGGACTAACATTTGGAAACCATTAAAACTGAACTAGAGAATAGGGTGTAGACTATTCAGTAGTTCGAAGTCATTAATAAAGGAGGATTTGATACCACTTTATCAAGCACGTCACAGAATCCTACAGCAGTCGTTCTCAACCTCGGCCCCACTTTGGAATCTCCCAGGGGGCTTTTGAAAAATGCTGATGCCTGAGCCTCACCCTCAGAGATTCTGGTTGGAGTGGTCTGGGGTGTGGACTGGGCATCAGGATTAGCTGCCACCAGGGAAAGATGGACACTGAGAGTGAAGTCCCAGGAGAGGGTACGCAGGGTAGCACGCTTTGCTCTCCTTCCTTTTTCTCTAGAGACTTCTGGGAAGGAGCCCACCTGGAACTTCTGGAAGTACCTAGTAGCCCCAGATGGAAAGGTGGTAGGGGCTTGGGACCCAACTGTGTCAGTGGAGGAGGTCAGACCCCAGATCACAGCGCTCGTGAGGAAGCTCATCCTACTGAAGCGAGAAGACTTATAACCACCGCGTCTCCTCCTCCACCACCTCATCCCGCCCACCTGTGTGGGGCTGACCAATGCAAACTCAAATGGTGCTTCAAAGGGAGAGACCCACTGACTCTCCTTCCTTTACTCTTATGCCATTGGTCCCATCATTCTTGTGGGGGAAAAATTCTAGTATTTTGATTATTTGAATCTTACAGCAACAAATAGGAACTCCTGGCCAATGAGAGCTCTTGACCAGTGAATCACCAGCCGATACGAACGTCTTGCCAACAAAAATGTGTGGCAAATAGAAGTATATCAAGCAATAATCTCCCACCCAAGGCTTCTGTAAACTGGGACCAATGATTACCTCATAGGGCTGTTGTGAGGATTAGGATGAAATACCTGTGAAAGTGCCTAGGCAGTGCCAGCCAAATAGGAGGCATTCAATGAACATTTTTTGCATATAAACCAAAAAATAACTTGTTATCAATAAAAACTTGCATCCAACATGAATTTCCAGCCGATGATAATCCAGGCCAAAGGTTTAGTTGTTGTTATTTCCTCTGTATTATTTTCTTCATTACAAAAGAAATGCAAGTTCATTGTAACAATCCAAACAATACCTCACGATATAAAATAAAAATGAAAGTATCCTCCTCATTTTCCATAGTCTCCCTCCCTAGAGGTAAACAGTGTTAGCAGTTTGGTACAAAGGCTGCCAGGCCTTTGGTTAAGCCAATCATTATTGCCCAATAAGAACTCAGTGACCGGGCACGGTAGCTCACGCCTGTCATCCCAGCACTTTGGGAGGCCAACGTAGGTGGATCACCTGAGGTCAAGAGTTTGAGACCAGCCTGGCCAACATGGTGAAAACCCATCTCTACTAAAAATACAAAAATTAGGCTGGGCGCGGTGGCTCACGCTTGTAATCCCAGCACTTTGGGAGGCCAAGGCGGGCGGATCACGAGGTCAGGAGATCGAGACCAACCTCGCTAATACGGTGAAACCCCGTCTCTACTAAAAATACAAAAAATTAGCCGGGCGTGGTGGCGGGCGCTTGTAGTCCCAGCTACTCTGGAGGCTGAGGCAGGAGAATGGTGTGAACCCGGGAGGCGGAGCTTGCAGTGAGCAGAGATCGTGCCACTGCACTCCAGCCTGTGCACTCTAGCCTGGGCGACAGAGCAAGACTCCGTCTCAATAATAATAATAATAATAAAAATAAAAAAATAAAAATACAAAAATTAGCCTGGCATGACCGGGCACAGTGGCTCATGCCTGTAATCCCAGCACTTTGGGAGGCTGAGGCGGGTGGATCACCTGAGGTCAGGAGTTTGAGACCAGCCTGGCCAACATGGTGAAACCCCGTCTCTACAAAAATATAAAAATTAGTCGGGCATGATGGCAGGTGCCTGTAATCCCAGCTACTCTGGAGGCTGAGGCAGGAGAATCGCTTGAATCCGGGAGGCAGAGGTTGCTGTGAGCGGAGATAACGCCACTGCATTCTAGCCTGGGCAGCAGAGAGAGACTCTGTCTCAAAAAAAAAAAAAATTCACTGAGTAATCCACTAGCCAAAAGTACACCTCAATAACAAATAGGCAAAGGAGATGAATAGATAGTTCACGGAAGACTATAGATGCGTAATAAGGATACAAAAAGATGTCCAGCCTCATTGAAGTTGGAAAGTTTTTTGTTTGTTTGTTTTGTTTTTGTGATGGAGTCTAGCTCTGTCACCCAGGCTGGAGTGCAGTGGCACAGTCTCGGCTCACTGCAAGCTCTGCCTCCCAAGTTCACGCCATTCTGCCTCAGCCTCCCGAGTAGCTGGGACTACAGGCGCCCACCACCACGCTCAGCTAATTTTTTTTTTTTTGTATTTTTAGTAGAGGCGGGGTTTCATCATGTTAGCCAGGATGGTCTCAATCTCCTGACCCAGTGATCCGCCCGCCTCGGCCTCCCAAAGTGCTGGGATTACAGGCGTGAGCCACTATTCCCGGCCGAAAGATATTTTTTTAATGATAATACCCCTGGTTGGCAGGGATGTGAGGAAATGGGCATTCACATAAACTGTGGTACGATAAACTGGCACAAGTGTTTGGAGGGTGATTTGGCAATATCTTTTAAAACAAAATGCTCATACCTTTTGTTTTTGCTTTTTGTTTTGAGACAGGGTCACACTCTGTTGCCCAGGCTGAAGAAGAGTGGCTCGATCGTAGCTTACTGCATCCTTAGCCTCCTGAGTAACTAGGACTGCAGGCACACGCCACCATGCAACATAGTGGGACCCCACCTCTACAAAAAAATATTAGCTGGCCATGGCAGTGCATGCCTGTAGTCCCAGCTATCAGGAGGCTGAGGTGAGAGAATTGCTAGAGCCTGGGAGGTCAAGGCTGCAGCGAACCGTAACCATGCCACTGCACTCAGCCTGGGTGACAGAGGAGACCTTGCCTCAAATTATAAACTAATATGGTTATTAAAATGAATGAATGAAGTCTCCATATGCTACCATAGAAAGTTGTCCAAAAGTGAAAAAATGATAAGTTGTAAAACAGAATGAACACATTCACATACCCAGAAAAACCAGTATGAACAAGTGTAATGTTTTTATTAAAAATGTACAATGTTGCTGGGTGCATTAGGTGGCTCACGCCTGTAATCCCAGCACTTTGGGAGGCAGAGGTGGGAGGATTGCTTGAGCCCAGGAGTTCAAGACCAGTCTGGGCAACATGGCAAGACCGTGTCTCTGCAAAAAAATTTAAAAATTAGCCAGGCGTGGTCACTCACACCTGTAGTCCCAGCTACTCAGGAGGCTGAGGCAGGAGGATTGTTTGAGCCCAGGAGGTTGAGGCTGCAGTGAGCCGTGTTTGCGCCACTGTACTCCAGCCTGGGCAATGGGAGTGGACCCTGTCCCAAATTTTTAAAAAATTTACAATGTTAAGTGGGAGGGAAAGAGAGAGGGAAAAATATAGACCAAACTCTTAATGGTGGTTGTCTGCGAGGGGCTGAGGTAGGATAACAGGAGTCATTTTCATTAAGTTTCTGTAATGTTTGAATTTTGTATGTCAAATCCATATTTCACCTTTATATAAATGTGGAAAGGTGGCTAAAAATTGGGGTGCAGCCTGGGAAACACAGTGAGACTTCATCTCTACAAAAAATCAAAAAATTAGCCAGGTGTGATGGTGCACACCTATAGTCCCAGCTACTCAGGAGGCTGAGTGAGGAGAGTCACTGGAGCCTGGGAGTTTGAGGCTGCAGTGAGCTATGATCACGCCACTGCACTCCAACCTGAGCAACAGACCAAAATACTATAAAAAAAATGGGGTGATGGGCAGAGTCACTGGTAGATAATTCATTGGCCAATAAGAATTTCAGGTGTACTTTATCTAAGGTCACTCTTCTAGAAGTCTGGAGACTCAGATTCAAGTTCCTGTTGTGCCCCTGACTCACAGCAAATTCTTCCCTCTCTCCTGTCCTCCGTTTTCTCACTGGACAATGAAAGGGTTAAACCGTGCTTAGGATTTTCACAGTCTCCCTTCATGGTGCTTCTCAAAAGCTAACAAAAGTAAAGTGAAGGCTGTCCATGGGGTGACCACAGCCCCTCCTATGGTGGCCTCTCAGCTGCCCTTACACACCCTCCTCTTAGCTGCAGCTCTGCATGTACTTGTGTGCATGCACACACACACAGTGAAGCCCAGCTTGCACACATGTTCACACTGGACATCTGGGAACCACAGTCTCCTGCAGCTACCTTCCTCCCTCCATACCCACTGTCTCCACCACCCGTATGTATGCCTCCCCTCACTGTGCCCACCAAGGCCATCACTTAGTGCCTTATCGTTAAAGCCAATGAATATCTCTCACCTTGTCTTCCTTGACCTCTCAGCTGCATGTGACACTGCAGACTCTGCTCTTCTCCCTGGCACTTGCTCGGTCCTTGGCGTTCCTCTGTCTTCTCTTAGTTTCCCCCATCTCTCTAAGTGTTCCTTCGTTCTCAGTGTCAATGTCTCTCCCTTCTCTATCCACCCCTTCCCTGTTGGTCTTCCATGGGGTTCTAGTCTGATCTAGTTTCTCACCCCATATACCGTTCTGTAGCCAGCTCATTTTTTCCCATGGTTTTGACCACCATCTACACCCTGCTGACACCCAAATCTCTATATCCATGCAGGACTCCCATCCACCTGCCTCCTGGGCATCTCTACAGATACCTCAATTCAACATGGCCAGAACTAAATTCACCCTCATCTTTCCCCAACACATCTGCTCTCCCTTCCATTCTGCCTTGGCAGCCCCTGGAGCTTTCTCTTTCACACACCACTTACTTATCACACTCTATTCCCATCACTTAAGAAACTGCCCTCCCTTCCCTCTCCTGAGCACAGTGCTAGGCCCTTAATAGATGAAATTAAATTATGTCATAAGCCTTTGGAGTACCAACTCCATGCCTGCTCCTGCCTAAGCCCTATCTGGAAACCAAAGATGAGCAAGCCCATTTCCTCAGAAATTTAGAGTCCGTCTGAGGACCTTACGCTCCCAATTAGCCCTGTGTTTCTGTGGACTTTATCAGCTTCTGCTGTTCCCAACCCCCCTCTAATACATGCAAGAGTCCCCTAGGAAAAAGTTACTTTAAATCCTTATCAACAGTCACCTTAGTCATTGGTTAACCAGTATCTGCTAAGATCTTGGTTTTAAATTAATCCCTTGGTTATCAAATAACACTTGAGTAGTTAATATTTGATTATCTACTAACACCACCTTAGTTATCTTCTAACACCTTATTTACAAGCCAAATACTTTATTTATTCAGTTATATCTTAGGATTTAGTAGTTTAAAAGTATTTGCTATGTCTTAGTTATTAATCAAATTTTCTTTTTTTTTTTTTTTTTTTTTAACAAGGTCTTACTCTCTCACCCAGGCTGGAGTGCAGTGGTGCAATCACAGTTCACTGCAGCCTCAACCTCCTAGGCTCAGGCAATCCTCCCACCTCAGCCTCCTGAGTAGCTGGGACCACAGATGCTCACCACCATGTCTGGCTAATTTTTGTATTTTTTGTAGAGATGGGTTTTTGCCATGTTGCCTAAGCTGGTCTTGAACTCCTGGGCTCAAGTGATCTGCTCTCCTTGGCCTCCTAAAGTGCTAGGATTACAGGTGTGAGCCACCACGCCCAGCCTTAATCAATATTTTAGTTACCTGATCCCTTAGCTCTCTGCTGAGTTTAGAGTAGATTAGCAAGTCAGAAACCATCAGTTAGGAGTTTGGGGAAGAGGTCATTTCTGAATATGGAAAAATACAGGCCTTTGTCTTTTACTGAGCTCTCCTCTTACCCCCAAACGATTCTCTTTCAACATCAACTGGCCCCAGGTCCTGAGAGAAAAGGAGGTCCCATCCTAATTGCTTATTTGTTTCTCTGAGCCAGGCTGTAGGGGACTTCCTGGAATGTTGTGATTGGCAGGGACTTTCATTCATCAACAAATGTTTCTTGAGCACTGCATATCTGTCAAGTTCTCCCTAAGTTCTAACTGTACATCAGCAAACAAAATGGGCATGTTCCCAGCTGCTATGGCTCTTAGAGAACAGTGGAAAAGATAAACATTAAACAAATAGTTATTCTGATTATTATGTGATTACAATTATGATAAGCACAGGGATTATGATAAGTACAGGGAGCTGTGAGTGTGTATAAAAGTGGCACTTGACCTATTGTGGGATTCAGAGACTTCCTTGAGGAATGACATTAAAGCTGAAAGCTGAAATTTTAATAAGAGTTAGGGAAAAAATGGTAAGGAAGTCCTAAGCAGATAGAGTGGCTTGGGCAAAAGCCTAAAGGAAGGAAAAGGCTGATATGATAGAGCTAGTGCTGCCTGGAGCCACATGATAAGGAGAAGGACCAGAGAAGTAGGCAGATGCCAGATCATGCAGGGCCTTGTGGAATCTAAGTGAGAAATGATGTGACCTGGCCTAGCATGAAGCGTCTGTCTTCTATTGGTATAAGAAGATCTTCCTTAGAGTCCCAAATCTGACGGCCAGAAATAAACCCTGGGGCAGAGGCAGTCATTGAACCACTGGTAGAAGAAGGCTGCAGCTGAATGCAGTGGCTCACGCCTGTAATTCCAACACTTTGGAAGGCTGAGGAGGGTGGATTACCTGAGTTCAGGAGTTCGAGACCAGCCTGACCAACATGGCAAAACCCTGTCTCTACTAAAAATACAAATATTAACCGGGGGCAGTGGCTTGTGCCTGTAGTCCCAGCTACTGGGGAGGCTGAGGCAGGAAAATCGCTTTAACCTGGGAGGCGGAGGTTGCAGTGAGCCCAGATTTCACCACTGCACTCCAGCCTGGGCAAGAGTGAGGCTCCATCTCAAAAAAAAAAAAAAAAAGGAGTAGGCTGTTCTGCTTTGGGGGCTGCCTGGAGGACAGGTCACCACGGAGACACCTGTGAAAAGCAAGCAGCCCTGAAATTCCCCAGCTCTCTAGCTGAGCCAGCCAAGGGGTAGCTGAGAAGATTGCCAAGACTGGAGTCCCTACTAACCACCTGCTTTCACGGATTCCTGGACACCCCTGGAGTGATTACATTGCAGATAGTCCATTTTTTTTTTTTTTTTTTTTTGAGACAGAGTCTCGATCTGTCGCCCAGGCTAGAGTGCAGTGGTGCAGTCTTGGCTCATTGCAACCTCTGCCTCCCCAGTTCAAGTGATTCTCATGCCTCAGCCTCCCAAGTAGCTGGGACCACAAGCACATGCCACCACGCCCAGCTACCTTGTTTTTGTTTTTGTTTGAGACGTAGTTTTAGTCTTGTTGCCCAGGCTGGAGTGCAATGGCGCTATCTTGGCTCACTGCAACCTCCGCCTCCTGGGTTCAAGCGGATTCTCCTGCCTCAGCCTCTCAAATAGCTGGGATTACAGGCATGGGCCACCACACCAGGCTAATTTTGTATTTTTAGCTGAGATGGGGTTTCACCATGTTGGTCAGTCTGGTCTTGAACTCCTGACCTCAGTTGATCTGCCTGCCTCGGCCTCCCAAAGTGCTGGGATTACGGGTGTGAGCCACTGTGCCTGGCCCAACTTTTTTGTATTTTTATTAGAGATGAGGTTTTGCCATGTCGGCCAGGCTACTCTCAAACTCCTGGCCTCAAGTGATCCTCCTGCCTCAGCCTCCCAAAGTGCTGGGATCTAAGCTTGAGCCATTGCACCCGGCCCAAAGACCACATTTTAAGAAAGAAACACTGCCTGGGTACAACAAAAAGTCTACAGCTTCCTCCCCACGTACCCTTTAATCCCTACATCTTAGTCCTCACCTGTGGCTTCTACCACTTTGTGTGAGGATAGAGATTTGGTGGTTATAACAGGAACTCAGAGGAAACAGAGTCTCAAATGAAGTAGAAGTTTATTTCTATCCCACGTGAAAGTCAGATCTCTACTCTGCTCTATGAACTCTCAGGGGCCGAGGCTTATAGCTCTGCCATCCGTAGGATCTTGCCACCATCTGCATGACCCAAGATGGCTGACCACCTTGACCATATTCTTTTAAGGGCACTACAGCACATCTTACAGGTCAAAAGAACTTAGTCACATAGCCACACCCAGATCACTAGGAAATAAACTTTTTTTTTTTTTTTTTGAGACAGAGTCCTGCTCTGTCACCTAGGCTGGAGTGCAGTGGCGCGATCTCAGCTCACCACAACCTCCGCCTCCTGGGTTCAAGTAATTCTCCTGCCTCAGCCTCCTTGGGATTACAGGCATGCACCACCATGCCTGGCTAATTTTTGTATTTTTAGTAGAGACGGGTTTCACTATGTTGACCAGGCTGGTCTCGAACTCCTGACCTTGTGATCCACCTGCCTTGGCTCCCAAAGTGCTGGGATTACAGGCATCAGCCACTGCGCCCGGCCAGAAATAAACTTTTTATGCTGTGTGGCCATGTGCCCAAATGAAAATCAGGGGTTCCGTTAACACAGCAGAGGGGGAGAACAGATGTTGAGGGGCCATTACTGCCCCACACCTTAACATCTTTCACATCTCTCCTGTCTCCTTCTTTCTGCTGCATTCTGCCTCCATCTTCATTTCAGATTGTTTACTTTGCGTTTCTTTTTTTTTTTTTTTTTTTGAAATAGAGTCTCGCTCTGTCACCCAGGCTGGAGTGCAGTGGAGCAATGTTGGCTTACTGTACTGCAACCTCCACCTCCCAGGTTCAAGAGATTCTTCCACCTCAGCCTCCCGAGTAGTTGGGATCACAGGCACCCACCACCATGCCAGGGTAATTTTTTGTATTTTTAGTAGAGATGAAGTTTCACCATATTGGCCAGGCTAGTGTCGAACTCCTGACCTCAAGTGATCCCCCCGCCTTGGCCTCCCAAAGTGCTGGGATTACAGGTGTGAGCCACCGTGCCCAACTGGGTTCCTTTAGAGCAGCCAAATCGCTATCCTCACACAGAGAGATAGAAGCCACAGGTAAGGGTTAAGGTGTAGGGATTGCCCAGGCACAGTGGCTCACACCTGTAATCCCAGCACTTTGGGAGGCTGAGGCAGGCAGATTGCTTGAGCCCAAGAGTTTAAGACCATCCTAGGCAACATGACAAAACCCCATCTCTACAAAAAATACCAAAATAATTAGCCAGGAATGGTGGCACGCACCTATAGTCCCAGCTACTTGGGAGGCTGAGGCAGTAGAATCGCTTGAGCCCAGGAAGCAGAGGTTGCAGTGAGCAGTGATCACGCCACTGCACTCCCTCCTGGGTGACAAAGCCAGACCCTGTCTCAAAAAATAAAAAAAAAAAAATAAAAGATGTAGGGATTGAAGGAGACATGGAGATTTATCATCCTTCTAGATTATCTCTTTGGCCCCAGCTCCCTCCTCCAATCCATCTTTCACTTTGCAAGCTGAATGTTCTAAAAAGCAAATCTGAACACATCAGCTGTCTGTTTCAGTGTGCTCCCAACACCAAACTGCTTGCTGTGCTCTCTTTTACACCTTCTTCCCATTGCACAGGTGGAAATTATTTTCCTTGCCTTGAAATTGCTGGGCGTTTTATCTCCAGGGTATTCCTTTAACCTAGCAAGTGCATGGCCCATAGTAGGTGTTCAACATGCATTTGCTGATTGACTAACCTTATTGTCATCATCCATGTCTGTTTCTGAATGTCCCAAGAACTATCTGAACTCTTGTACCAGCTAGGTTCCCCATGAAAGACTCAATTCCTCCCAGGGAGGGGGTTGACCACTCTCAGTGAGATGGAAAAGCCCAAGCAGAGGCCCCTTCTTCCTAATCCCTTAGAATATCAGCTCTCTCTTCTGATCACAAGGCCAATCAAGCCCCACTCATCATTCTCCAGAGGGGAGTCCCAGGGCCACAAGAGACCTGGTATTCATGACGATTGCATGGGAAATACTTATATTTTAAAAGTATTCATTGTTTATCTGAAATTCAAATTTAACTGATCATCCTGTATTTTATCTGGCAACCCTAATGTAGGGTTGAGAACCATGTAGTAGGGAATTGAACTAGATAGCCTGTAGAACCCTCTCAACTCCAGGAAACAAAGATTCGAAGATTCTTTTTTAAATTTGTATTTACTTAGTTTTTTAGAGACGGGGGTCTCACTATGTTTTCCAGGATGGATTAGAACTCTTGGGCAAAAATGATCCTCCTGCCTCAGCCTCCCAAGTAGCTGGGATTACAGGTGCATGCCACCACACCTGGCTCCTAAGATTCTTCTAGTTTGCCTTATTCCTTCCAGTGAAAGCAGAAACTCTTCTTAGGATTATAGTAAAAGAGTTGAGAACAATAACTAACAGGTGAATTAACATAACAAATGACAATACCCCCTTACTCACTGTGTAACCTTGGGACAGTCACTTAACCTCATTGAACATCCATTGCTTCATTTAGCCAATGAAAGGAAACCGAGATTTTATCTAATAAATGCCAGGCACTGTGTAGACACTTCCTTCTATGAGATCTCTTGCCTAGGACAATCAGACAAAATACTGTCTGAGAAGGCACTTTGTATGTGGGAATAGGCTGTAACAAATGTAAAATGGTGTTACCGTTAGTATCATATCTGTCTGCAGTTTCTTTCTTTTACTGCCCCTTAGCAGGAAAGAAGCTTCCTTAGTTCCATCATATTGTAGAGGAAGAATGTCATTGTCCAGGACTCTAGACTATAGAGCAGTGGTTCTTTTTTTGTTGTTGTTGTTGTTTTCTTTTGAGACAGAGTCTTTCTCTGTCTCCCAGGCTGGAGTGCAGTGGCACAATCCTGGCTCACTGCAACCTCTGCCTCCTGGGTTCAAGTGATTCTCCTGCCTCAGCCACCCAAGTAGCTGGGACTACAGGCTTGCACCATCATGCCCAGCTCATTTTTGTATTTTCAGCAAAGATGGAGTTTTGCCATTGTTGGCCAGCTGGTCTGGAACCCCTGACCTCAAGTAATCCGCCCGTCTCGGCCTCCCAAAGTGCTAGAATTACAGGCATGAGCCACTGCATCCGGCCAGAGCAGTGGTTCTTCACCGGGAGTGATTTTATTTCTTGGGGGATATTTGGCAGTATCTGAAGACATTTTCTGTTGTTACAACTGGGCGGTGGATGTTACTGGCATTTAATAGGCAAAGGCCAGAGATACTGCTAAACATGCTACAATGCAGAGAACTGCTTCCCACAACAAAAAATTATCTGGGCTGGGTACAGTGGCTCACACCTATAATCCCAGCACTTTGAGAAGCCAAGGCAGAAAGATCACTTGAATTCAGGAGTTCAAGACCAGCCTAGGCAACATGGCAAAACTCTGTCTCTACACTTAAAAAAAGGCTGGGCACAATGGCTCACACCTGTAATCCCAGCACTTTGGGAGGCTGAGGTGGGCAGATCACTTCAGGCCAGGAGACAGAGACCAGCCTGGCCAACATGGTGAAACCCTGTCTCTACTTAAAAAAAAAAAAAAAAAAAAAAAAATAGCTGGGCATGGTGGTGGGTGCCTGTAGTCCTAGCTACTCAGGAGGCTGAGGCACAAGAATGGCTTGAACCCAGGAGGCGGAGGTTGCAGTGAGCTGAGATCCTGCCACTGCACTCCAGCCTTGGCCACAAAGCGATACTCTGTCTCAAAAAAAGATTTTTTTTTCCAGCTGGCCATGGTGACGTGTGCCTATAGTTCCAGCTATTTGGGAAGCTGTGGTGGGAGGACTGGTTGAGCTCAGGAGGTCGAGGCTATAGTGAGCCATGATTGCACCACTGCATTTCAGCCTGAGTGACAGAGAGAGATGTCCAAGATCACCCAGCAAGTCAGTTGCCAAGTAGCAACTGGAATCCAGGCTGATCTGATCCTAAAGTCCTTGCCTTTCCCTATATTCCTTGTTTCCTGGACTCTGGTAACAACACTCCAGCAAGGGGAGAGAGGGTTTACAGCAAGCTTGTCAAACCTGTAGCCCATGGGCCACGTGCGGCCCAGGATGGCTTTTGAATGCAGCCCAACACAATTTGTAAACTTTCTTAAAACATGATTTTTTTTTTTTTTTTTTGCTTAAACAAACAAACAAAAAAGGCCGGGCACGGTGGCTCAGGCCTGCAATCCCAGCACTTTGGGAGGCTAAGGCAGGTGGATCACTGAGGTCAGGAGTTCGAGACCAGCCTGATCAACATGGAGAAACCCCATCTCAAATAAAAATGCAAAATCAGGCATGGTGGCGCATGCCTGTAATCCCAGCTACTCGGAAGGCTGAGGCAGGAGAATTGCTTGAACCTGGGAGGCGGAGGTTGCGTTGAGCCGAGATTGCACCATTGCACTATAGCCTGGGCAACAAGAGCAAAACTCCGTCTCAAAAACAAGCAAGCAAACAAACAACAAACAAACAAACAACAAACAAACAAAAACTCATCAGCTATTGTTAGTGTTAGTGTATTTTATATGTGGCCCAAGACAATTCTTCTTCTTTCAATGTGGTCCAGGGAAGCCAAAAGATTGGACACCCCTGGTTTGCAGTTAAAGACACTGATTCTAGGAAAGGGCCATTCACCCAAGGTACAAAAGTCTTGGAGTAAGTTCCAGAAGTGGCTGATATCAGGATGAAAAAGAACCATGAACATGATAAATGCTTAATAATGTGTCAAGTGCTGAACTCATGCTGAGATCAGAGAAGGAGGTAGGCAGAGGCGGTGTCTCCTTGAACTTTGGGGACAGGCATCCCCAGGACAAATCCCAATTTCTACCATTCCTGGCTGTATTTCTCTATTCTAGAGAAAGCCAGAGTCTGAAGCTGTGATTCTTAAGTAAGGTGATGGCACACAGATGGTGCTCAATGAATGGTATACATATAGTCAAGACAGCAGATGCTGAAAGAAAGAATGATGTGCTGAAAGTTGGCCACAGAAGAGCTTGCTGCAAGAGGGGTTTCTTCAAGCCAGGCATTGAAGAATGGGAGATGATTTAAGTAAGCAGAAGGAGGGAATATCACGTGGACAAAAACCTACGAAAGAAGGCTCCTTTCCCCAGTCAGACTAGCTGAATCAGAGGCTTCCTGTAGGAAAGATGAGGTGGGAATATTGGAGAAATAGGGAGAGTTCAGATTTTAGAGGTCAGACTGGAGTAATTGGGGCTACTTCAAAAGCTCTGATCAAGTCTTCTGAAGAGCTCTCTGTTGACAAATATGTGGTGGGAAAGAATCAAGTGGTAAAAACACACAATTGTCCAGAGAAAAAACAATAGCACAATTTTACCTCCAAAATCAAAAGAATTCTCTTCATCATTATATTGGACAATGTAATAATGCAAGAATAATAAATAAAAGGCACCTCCTGAAAAGTAAAAGTAAAACTGCCTTTATTCACAGACAACACAATCATGTACATAAAAAATTCTAAGTAATCTACAATGAAGCTACTAGAACTAATAAGTGAATTTATCAAGATGACAAGATACAAGGTGAATATACAAAAGTAAACTGTATTTATATATATTAGGAACAAACAATTAGAAAATGACATTAAAATGCCATTTCAAGGCTGGGCACAGTGGCTCACGCCTGTAATCCTAGCACTTCGGGAGGCTGAGGCAGGCAGATCACTTGGGGTTGGAAGTTTAAGACCAGCCTGGCCAACATGGCGAAACCCTGTCTTTACTAAAAATACAAAAAGTTAGCCGGGTGTTGTGGTGGTGCATGCCTGTAATCCCAGCTACTCAGAAGGGTGAGTTGGGAGAATCGCTTGAACCCAAGAGGTGGAGGTTGCAATGGGTTGAGATCGTGCTACCGCACTCCAGCTTGGGCGACAGAGAGAGACTCTGTCTCAAAAAAAATAAAAAATAAAAAAAAATAAAAAAAGAAACGCCATTTAGAAAAGTACCAAAAATAAGAAAAAGGGACACATTTTACAAAATACTGTAAGTCCTATACACCGAATATAAAATATTGTTGAGGTAAATTAAAGAACTAAATAAATAAAGAGACAGGCCAGGTGCGGTGGCTCACGTCTGTAATCCCAGCTCTTTGGGAGGCCAAGGTGGGTAGATCACCTGAGGTCAGAATTTCAAGACCAACTGGGCCAACATGGCAAAATCCCGTCTCTACCAAAAATACAAAAAAATTAGTCATGTGTGGTGGTATCCACCTGTAATCTCAGTTACGTGGGAGGCTGAGGCAGGAGACTAGTTCAAACCCAGGAGGCAGAGGTTGCAGTGAGCCGAAATCATGCCACTGCACTCTAGCCAGGGTGACAGAGTGAGACTCTGTCAAAAAAAAAAAAAAAAGAAAGAAAGAAAGAAAAAAGAGATATACCATGTTCATGGATTGGGAAACTCAATATTAAGATGTTAACACTCTCCAAATTTATCTATTGATTCAATGCAATCCCAAGCAAAATCCCAGCAAGTATTTCTGTATTTGACAAACTAATTCTAAAATTTATATGGAAATGCAAAGGCCCTAGAACCACAAAAACAACTTTGAAAAATAAGGGCAAAGTTAGAGGACTTATACTACCTGATTTAAAGTTTTTTTTTTTTTTTTTTTTAGATGGAGTCTCTCTCTGTCACTTAGGCTGGAGTACAGTGGCCCAATCTCAGCTGGCTGCAGCCTCTGCCTCCTGGGTTCAAGTGATTCTCCTGCCTCAATCTCCCCAGTAGCTGGGATTACAGGTGGGCACCACCAAGCCCGGCTATTTTTCTATTTTTTAGTAGAGATGAGGTTTCACCATGTTGGCCAGGCTGGTCTCAGGTGATCCACCTGCCTCAGCCTCCCAAAGTTATGGGATTACAGGCATTAGCCATTATGCCCAGCCTCAAGATTTATTTGTAAAGCCACAGTAATTAAGACAGAGTGGTATTGGCTCATGGATAGAAGGACAGACAAAGATTAATGAAATGCCTGTACTCCCAGCACTTTGGGAGGCCAAGGCGGGCAGATCACGAGGTCAGGAGATTGAGACCATCCTGGCTAACATGGTGAAACCCCATCTCTACTAAAAAATAGAAAAAAATAGCCAGGCATGGTGGCAGGCACCTGTAGTCCCAGTTACTTGGGAGGCTGAGGCAGGAGAATGGCATGAACCAGGGAGGCGGAGCTTGCAGTGAGCCAAGATAGTGCCACTGCACTCCAGCCTGGGTGACAGAGTGAGACTCCATCTCAAAAAAAAAAAAGATTAATAAAATGGAATAGAAAATCCAGAATCCGACAGGTATTGTTGATTTTTGACAAAGTTGTCAAGTTATTTCAATGAGGAAAGGCTAGTCTTTTCAGAGAATGGTTCCGCAACAACTGGATATCCATGTGCCAAAAGTGAACTTTGACCTTTGTTTTACACCGTACACAAAAATTAACTCAAAATGGACCAAAGACATACATGCAAAATCTAAAGCTATAAATATTCCAGAAGAAAACACAGAAGGAAATCTTTGTAATCTTAGAGTAGGCAAAGATTTCTTTTTAAACAGACACAAAAGCTCTGACTTTAATAGAAAAAGGTGATAAAGAAGACTTTAGCACAATTAAAAATTTTTCTTTTAACAAGACACTTTTTAAAAAAAAGAAAATAAGGCCAGGCACAGTGGTTCACGCCTGTAATCCCAGCACTTTGGGAGACCAAGGCAGGTGGATCACGAGGTCAGGAGATCGAGACCATCCTGGCTAACACGGTGAAACCCCGTCTCTATTAAAAAAATACAAAAAAAATTAGCCGGGCATGGTGGTGGGCGCCTGTAGTCCCAGCTACTCGGGAGGCTGAGGCAGGAGAATGGCATGAACCCAGGAGGCGGAGCTTGCAGTGAGCGGAGATCGCACCGCTGCACTCCAGCCTGGGCAACAGAGCGAGACTCTGTCTCAAAAAGAAAAGAAAAGAAAAGAAAAAGGCAAGCCCACAAACTGGAAAAAATGATTTACAATAATATATTTGATAATGAGATTTGCATCTAGAATATTTAAGAACAGTTATAACTCAATAAGAAGATAAACCTATAGATTCAATGTAATCCCTATTAAAATTAAAATGTCATTTTTCACAGATATAGAAAAAAGTTCTAAAACGTATTTGGAACCACAGAAAAACTCTGACCAGCCAAGGCAATCTTGAGCAAAAAGAATAAAGCTGGTGGCATCGCACTACCTGACTTCTTGCTATATTACAAAGCTATAATAATTAAAACTGCATGGTAGTGGTATAAAAATAGACATATTGACCAACAGAACCAAACAGAAAGCCAAGAAATGAATGCACACATTTTCATCCTATTGATTTTTAACAAAGGAGACAGAACCACACAATAGGAAAAGGAAAGCCTCTTCAATAAACGGTGTTGGAAAAACTGGATATTCACTTGCAGAAGAATGAATTGGTCTTACACCATATTCAAAAATCAACTCAAGGCCAGGTGGGTGGCTCATGCTTGTAATCCCAGCATGCTGGGAGGCTGAGGTGGGCAGATTACCTGAGGTCAGGAGTTTGAGACCAGCCTGGCCAACATGGCAAAACCTCATCTCTAATAAAAATACAAAAAAATTAACCAGGCATGGTGGTGTATACCTGTAGTCCCAGGTACTTGGGAGGCTGAGGCACAACAATCACTTGAACTTTGGAGGCAGGGGTTGCAGTGAGCCAAGATCACACCACTGCACTCCAGCCTGGGAGACAGAACAAGACTAAAAATACAAAAATTAGCCAGGCATGGTGGTGAGAACCTGTAATCCCAGCTACTTGAGAAGTTGAGGCAGGAGAATCACTTGAACCTGGGAGGCAGAGGTTGCAGTGAGCCAAGATTGCACCACTGCACTCCAGCCTGGATGACAAAGCGAGACTCTGTCTCAAAAAATAATAATTATTATAATTATTCAAAGTTACCCACACATGGTGGGGCACACCTGTAGTCCCAACTACTTGGGAGGCTGAGATGGGAGGATCACTTGAGCCTGGGAGGTTGAGATTATAGTGAGCTAAGATCATGCCACTGCACTCCAGTCTGGGCAACAGACCAAGACCCTGTCTCAAAAATTAATAATAATAATAATAAAATAAAACAAAAAAGTGGGCTGGGTGCAGTGGTTCACGCCTGTAATCCCAGCACTTTGGGAGGCCAAGTTGGGTGGATCACGAGGTCAGGAGTTTGAGACCAGCCTGACCAACATGGTGAAACACCGTCTATACTAAAAATACAAAAATTAGCCAGGGGTTGTGGTGCACGCCTGTAGTCCTAGCTACTTGGGAGACTGAGGCAGAAGAATCACTTGAACCAGGGAGACAGAGGTTGCAGTGAGCCGAGATCACGTCTCTGCATTCCAGCCTGGTAGACAGAGCAAGACTCCGTCTCAAAAAAAAAAAAAAAAAAAAAAAAAAAGCAAGGAAATAAGTTGTTTTCATAACATAAAAGTGTGAGGTGATGCAGCAAAGTCTGATGCAGAAGCTATAGCAAGTTACCCAGAAGTTCTAGCTGAGATAATTGATGAAGGCAGCTACACCAAACAACAGATTTTCAATGTAGACAAAACAGCCTTTTATCAGAAGATGCCATCTAGGACTTTCATAGATAGAGAGGAGAAGTCAATGCCTGGCTTCAAATCCAAAGGACAGGCTGACTCTCTTTTATTAGGGGTTAATGTAGCTTGTGACTGCCAGTTTTTTTTTCTTTCTTTCTTCCTTTTTTTTTTTTTTTTTTTTTTGAGAAAGGATCTCACTCTGTCACCCAGGCTGGAGTGCAGTGGCGCAATCTCAGCTCACTGCAATCTTTGCCTCCTGGATTCAAGCAATCCTTCCCTCAGCCTCCCAAGTAGCTGGGACTACAGGTGCACGCCACCATGCCCAGCTAATTTTTGTATTTTTTGTAGAGACAGGGTTTTGCCATGTTGGCCAGGCTGCTCTCAAACTCCTGAGCTCAATCAATCCACCTGACTTGGCCTCCCAAAGTTCTGGGATTACAAGCATGAGCCACCATGCCCAGCCTGAAGCCAATGCCTCTTTACCACTCAGAAAATCCTAGGGCTGTTAAGAATTTATGCTCAATCTGGCCAGGCATGGTGGCTCACGCCTGTAATTCTAGCACTTTGGAAGGCCGAGGCAGGTGGATCACCTGACGTCAGGAGTTTGAGACCAGCCTGGCCAACATAGTGAAGCCACATCTCTACTAAAAATACAAAAATTAGCCAGGCATTGTGGCATGTGCCTGTAGTCCCAGCTACTTGGGAGGCTGAGGCGGGAGAATCACTTGAACCCAGGAGGCTGAGGTTGTAGTGAGCCGAGACTGTGCCACTGCACTCCAGCCTGGGCGACAGAGCGAGACTCCATCTCAAAAAAAAAAAAAAAAAAAAAAAAGAATTATGCTCAATCTACTCTGCCTGTGCTGTATAAATGGAACAACAAAGCCTGGATGACAGCACATTTGTTTATAGCATGGTTTACTGAATTCTAAGCCCACTATTTAGACCTAGTGCACAGAAAAAAGATTCCCTTCAAAATATTACTGCTCAATGACAATGTACCTAGTCAACCAATGGCTCTGATGGAGATGTACAAAGAAGGAGGTTAATGTTGTTTTAATGTCTGCTAATATAACATCCATTCTGCAGCCCATAGATCAAGGAGTAATTTTGACTTTTAAGTCATATTATTGAATAAATACATTTCCTAAGGCTATAGCTGCCATAGATAATGATTCCACTGATGGATCTTGGCAAAGTAACTTTCGTTTGCACTGCAAAACCAAAAGTTTTCTGTGACTTGTTTTATTGTGATATTCACTTTATTGTGGTGGTCTGGAACTGAACGTGCAGTATTTCTGAACTGTGACTATATCTGAATAGCTAATGAGTTCATGAAAAGATCTTTATCATTAGTTGGCCCCGCACGGTGGCTCACGCCTGTAATCCCAGGCCTCTGGGAGGCTGAGGCAGGCAGATCAATTGAGGTGGGGTGTTCAAGACCAGCCTGCCCAACAAGGTGAAACCTCTCTACCAAAAAATACAAATATCAGCCGGATGTGGCTGCATGTACCTGTAGTCCCAGCTAAACTACTCGGGAGGCTGAGGTGGGAGGATCACTTGAACCTGGGAAGCGGAGACTGCAGTGAGCCGAGATTATACCACTGCCCTCTAGCCCGGGCAAAAGGGTGAGGCAGTTGAGACCCTTTCTTAAAAAAAAAAAAAAAAAAAAAAGTCTTTTATCTTAGCCGTTAAGGAAATACAAATTAAAGCCACAATGAGAAAACACTTTACACCTGTAAGAATGCTAAAGTAGAAAATATTGACAATATTAAGTGCTAGTGAAAACATTTCTGCAATTTCTCTCTCTTTCCCCTCCCCTCCCCTCCTCTTTCTTTCTCTCTTTCTCTCTTTTGTTCTTTCTTTCTCAATAGGGCTGTTGCGCAGGCTGGAGTGCAGTGTGGCACAATCAGCTCACTGCAGCCTTGAACTCCCAGGCTCAAGTGATTCTCTTGCCTCTGCCTCCTGAATAGCTAGGACTATAGGCCTGCGCTACCATGCCTAGCTAATTTTTTTTTTTTTTTTTTTTTTGGGTAGAGATGGGGTCATGTTGTGTTGCCCAGGCTTGGCAATTTCTTATAAAGTTAAACATATATCTACCCTATAATTCAGAAATTCCACTCCTAGGTATCCAGCTAGGAGAAATGTAAACACATGTCCCAAAACAAAGCATATTTGCAAAAATGTTTATAGCAACTTTATCCATAATAGCCCCAAACTAGAAACAACCCAAATGCCCATTAACAGTTGAATGCACAAACTGTAGTATTTCTATATAATACAGTATTACTTAGCAATAAAGAGGAAGGAACTACTTGTACATAAAACAGTTTCTGTGTATCTCAAGGATGTTGTGATGAGCAAAAAGAAGTAAGACCCAAAGAAGGACATGCAATTTGATTTCATTAGTATGCAATTCAAGAAAAGGCAGAACTAATCTATATGGACAGAGAGCAGAGCAGTGGTACCTAAGGCAAGGCTCGGAGAGAAGAGAGCTGGTTGCAAACGGGCACAGTAGGCGGAGATACGTGATGGAAAACTGCTGTATTTTGACTGTGGTGTTGGTTTCATGGATATACATGTTTGTCAAAACTCACCAAGCTGTACACTTAAGCATATTCTATGGTTTGTAAAATAGACCTCAATAAAGTTGATTTTTGTTTTCAAGGTAGAGTCTCGCTCTGTCACCCAGGCTGGAGTGCAGTGGCGCAATCACAGCTCACTTCAGTCTTGACCTCCCAGTCTCAAGCAATCCTCACACATCAGCCTCCCGCGTAGCTGGGACTACAAGCACATACCACCATGCCCCGCTAATTCTTTTCTTTGTTTTTAGGGATGGGATCGCACTTTGTTGCCCAGGCTGGTATGTTGATTTTATTATATTTACTTATTTTTTTGAGACAGAATCTCACTCTGTGCCCAGGCTGGAGTGCAGTGGCGCAATCTCGGCTCACTGCAACCTCCGCCTCTGGGGTTCAAGCAATTCTCTTGCCTCAGCCTCCCAAGTAGCTGGGATTACAGGCACCCGCCACCATGCCCGACTAATTTTTGTATTTTTAGTAGAGACGGGGTTTCACCATGTTGGCCAGGCTGGTCTCAAACTCCTGACCTCAGGTGATCCACCTGCCTCTGCCTCCCAATGTGCTGGGATTACAGGCATGAGCCACCACACCCAGCCGGTAAGTTGATTTTAAAAGAAAAAAAAAAACTCAAAAAAGTATCATTGTTTGAAATAGCAATAAAAAATTGGAAGAAACCTAAATGTCCAAGAGAATGGATAATAAATCACCACATATTTGATAACTGAACGATATAGCACAATGAATAAGCTAAATAGAGTATACACATCAGTATAGACAAAGCTCGCAAACAGAAGCCTGAGTGAAAAAGCAGGTTCCAGGAGAATACATGCAGCATGATGCTATTTATTTAAAATTTAATTACATGCAAAGCAATTCCACACATTGCTCAAAGATCCATGCATATGTGAGCATAAATAAGAATATGGGAATAATAAATACCAAATTCAGGAGTGTAGTACCTCTTGGGGAGGAGGGAGGAGTATGCAAGGGACTTCAAACCGGATCAAATTTTTTTTTTTTACATTTTATTTTATTTACTTTTTTATTTTTTAAGCTGTTCCTTTCAGAGCAGGGCTAACTCCCAAGCAGTGAACCCAGAGTCAGCCAATTTTTTTATTTTGTAAACTATGTGGGTGGTCCCTGTATTATTCTTCATGTCGCTTTGTGTGTCTGAAAGATCGCCTAGTAAAACAAACAGACAGCAAACCAACGAAGACCTAAACAGAAAGTGTGGCCACAAAGAGTGAGGAAGAGCCTGGCTGGTATGTGGGCCACTGGTTTGTTCCTGGATTTGCTGTCCAACCGTGTAGGTCGCTTCTCTCTGATCAAGACACAAGAGCCTCATTCTGGAAGAAAAGAGAAAACATCCTTCCTGACCAGGCACTCAGAGGGATTTGATGCATGTTGCATCCTTTCTTTGCTTCTCCAGCTGCAGAAGCTGGTACTGCAAACTGGTACCCGATCCTGGCCAGGGGGAAGCTCGGTGGCCATGTACACACTCTCAGGCCAGTGCAGCCAGGGCAGGAGGAGAAGAGGAGGGGCTGCTTTCACTCTGCCAGGGCCAGAGGCCAGGGACCACACACACAGCCAGGGTACTAGTTCCGCCTGGGCCATTGGTTGCCATGTGACACGAGCAGAACTGGCTCTTCCAGCCAGGGGTTGTCCCCGGGATTGTGGTCACTGGGCTGTGCAGCAGACCATAGCGAGGGGACATTTCTTTCCCGACCCTCTCTGAGAGAACTCGGCTCCTGGAGCAAAAGCTGCCAAGGTCTTGAGGGCACTGTTTTGTGTACCCTGCAGAAAGGGGTCCTGTTAAGGCTGGCCCAGTACCAGACTTTAGGATCCTCCATCTGGAGTAATCTTAGCTAGTGCCCTATATGCAGAGAGGGAAAGTGACCATGACCAGCCTAAGTTCACACAGAAGGTGACTGGAACTTCTGACTTGTAGATCCCTGAGCAAGTTACTTAACCTCTCTGGGTCTCAGTTTTCCTACCCATAAAATGGGCGCATAATTGTGTGCATGGGGGCAGGGTTTGGGGGTGTATGATAGATATTTTTGTGTGGTGAAATTATGGGTGATTTTTATTTTTCCTTTTGGCTTATCTGTATTTTCTAATTTGTTGTTTTATAACGAATATGCATTTTGTTATTTTTTCTTTTTATTTCTTTTTTTTTTTTTTTTAGAGACAGGGTGTCTTCTCACTCTGTCACCCAAGCTGGAGTGCAATGGCACCATCACAGCTCACTGCTGCCTCAAACTCCTGGGCTCAGGTGATCCTCCTGCCTCAGCCTCCCAAGTAGCTAGGACTACGGGTGCATGCCACCATGCCCAGGCTGATTTTAAACTCCTGGGCTCAAGCAATCCTCCTGACTCAGACTCCCAAAGTTCTGGGATTACAGGCATGAACTGCTGCACCTGGCCTATTTTTAATTTTTCTTAATGAAGAAAGTAATACTACACATAGTTGGTGTAAAGATAGATAATGAAAAGCACAGAGCACAATTTCCCATTCACAGTGTGTTCTCCATAAATATTTCTCCCTGCCCACGCTTCCCTCCTATGCCTTTTTTCCCTTCTGGAGTTGGGGACTCTGGCCCCAGGCCTCATTTGGGAAGGGAGGAAGAGGCGGTACAGGACTCTGATCAGTTACTGGCTATGTGGCTTTGGGTAAATTATTTAACCTCTCTCTCAGTTACCTTGTCTGCAAAATGGGAAGACTAACACCTACCTCAAAGGAAGTTTTCAAGGACTACATGACATACAGGATGGGTATTGCCTGGCACATCATAGCTCTGTAATAAGTGTCTGCAGGAGAACAGAATGAAGGAACACAATGCATATAATGAAGGAAAAAGCATTAAAGTAGGAGCTAGAACAGAGACATGAGAGGATGTTCACATAGAGTCCATGGAGCCCAAGGAGCCTCTGGATAGAGTGTAGAAGGTTCATGAATTTACGTGGGAAAAATCACATCCTTGGTATGCATTACCTCTAACTGAAATTCAGTATTTTCTTTCATCATGCATATTGGTAAGAAAACCCACGATAGTATTAGTAGTGCTTGTGACTTTGTCACCAATAGAAATCACAGATATTTTCATATTGTATTACAGTAGAGACATATTGAAATACTAGTTATTTTCATTCACCACTTCAAAATTATAGTAATTAATAGACTCATCTCTAGATCTTATTGACACTTTTTAAAAAGTAGGACAAATCATGATTCAATATAATTGGTATCCTCTGTAACCCTAAATAATTTTTTTTTTTAGTTAAAAACATTATTTGTGGCCTGGTGCGGTGGCTCACACCTGTAATCCCAGCACTTTGGGAGGCTGAGGTGGGTGGATCACTTGAGGTCAGGAGTTCAAGACCAGCCTGGGCAACATGGTGAAACCCTGTCTCTACTGAAAATACAAAAATTAGCCAGGCGTGGTGACGCATGCCTGTAATCCCAGCTGCTTGGGAGGCTGAGGCAGGAGAATCACTTGAACCCTGGAGACAGAGGTTGCAGTGAGCCGAGATTCCAGCCTGGATGACAAAGTGAGACTCCATCTCAAAACAAAACACAAAAAACAAAAACAAAAAAAAACCCACTATTCTGAATAGGGGTTCATAGGCTTCATCAGACTGCCAAGGGGGACATGGAGACAGACATGGGTATCAGCCCTGCCTGGGCCATTGATCGCTGTGTGGTATTGGACTTGTTATTTCAGGCACATTCACCCCTGCGTGGCTCACCCCAGAGGGCTGTTGGGAGGAACAAATTAATTCTTGGCTGGGAGAGGGTTTTGGAAATTGTTGGAGGCTTTCTAGTTTTGCCAAAAGCCAGGGCAGAGCGCTTTCTTCCTCCCAGCTGATCTCCAGGCCTCCAGGAAGCCTCTCCCTCCCAGAGGATTCCTCCCCTGTACTCTCCATCTGATAAAGAGGCTGAAGTGCACCCTCATTAGTGTAGGCTCTCCAGCTCCCAGTCTGCTCAGACCCACAGCTCAGGGGAGGAATGTTCTGGAGGATAATAACAGTTCCCTCCAGCTTTCATATTTGACCTTACAGTGACTCTTGAGGACACCGCCTCCCTCAGAGCCCTCCCCTGCTTCCTCAGATGGTGCCCCTCTGTGTCCAGGTCCTTGCATTTCCCTTTTTACTGCCCTGTGCTGTGATCGTCAGTCAGTCTGACTCCTCCATCAGACTGTGTGTTTCTCAACGGCAGGCCCAGATCTGATCCCTCTCAGGGGCCCTAGGGCCCACCCAGGTCAGGGCAGCGGCACAATCAGCATCTGAGGAGCTGGCCTGGGTGAGGACAAGGAACCCAAAGCTCAGAGAGAAACAGCAGGGAAGGGGTAGAGCTGGGCTGGAGCCCAGATCCCCTGATACCCACGGCCCGTTCCCCACACGTCCAAACCAAGGGCGAAGGAATCGGGGGTGCCCGAGGCACCACAGTAACTATTTCCTACCCTACCCACTGCTGTGAAAAATGTAGAGCTAAGGCACTGAAGGTGCTGTATGAAGCCCTTCCAGATGGCGTAAGGCAACAGGGTACATGGGGGAAGCCAAGGCACTGAGAGCCCCTTCAGACTGTGGTTCTCTGATGCTAGTGAGAACACTGCCCTTGTTCTCTGGAAGTAATTTTTCAAAATGGACAGGTCTGCTGACTTTCTTTGCTGGTCAGTGTGGGGAAGGAGGTTACCGTCTGGGCCCATCCACACCCATATTCGGCTCCTTGTCCCAGGCCAGTGGCAGGCAGTATGAACAGAAGAGTGTGGACATTGTCCGTGCACGAGCTAGCTCTCAGCGAGACTAGCAGGGACTCCAGATGATGAGGACATCTAAAAGCCCGCTAGAAAAGAGGCACCATGAAAGCCGCAGAAAGAGCAAGGACTTCCTACTAGGCCGCCCCCGGTTAAAATCTCGTGGGCTTAGGAACTCCGGGAAATGGCTTCTCTCTGGCCCTCAGCTCTCACCTTTAACACGGATGCGAACATCCCCGGGCCCCTGGGTTTTTGCGGAGGTTGGGTGAGGTTGTGTTCACTCTCCTCACTGACCCCGCCGTGTGGTCGCCGGCTGGTGCCTTGTCTGTCTGCCCCAGCCCCGAATGCCCCGAGACTCCCGGCGCCGGCTCGGTGCAGGTAAGGCGCCCGCGCCCTGGCCTCGAATTCCCGCCCCGCCACTCTGGCCGCGTCGTGCTGTCGTTGCGCACCCAGCGCCCTCGTGCAGGCAGGGGGAGCGCAGTGGGGAGGGGGCAGGAAGCGCAGGCAGAGCCAGGCGAGCACGCGGCTCCCGGCCCAGCTCCCCGCGTCCGCTCCGGCTCCTGCCGCGTTCCAGCAGCCGTCACTCCCGCCGCCGGCCCCCGCCGCCCGCCCCGCCTGCCCCTACCCCTCCGCGCGGGCCGGGCACCTGGCCGCCGCTCGGTCCTCGGGGCCCCGCGCTGCTGTCTCTGTCTCGGCTTCTCTCGGCCCCTGGGTCTCTTCGTCTCTGCCGTTCTCAGGCTCAGCTCCGTCTCGCTCGGTCCCTCGCTTCCCCGCCGGGCTCTAGCCGGCCGTCTGGTGGCCCGAGGTGGCGGCGGGCTGGGCGCGGGGCGCGATGAGCGGCGCCTGCACGAGCTACGTGAGCGCAGAGCAGGAGGTGGTGCGCGGCTTCAGCTGCCCGCGGCCGGGGGGCGAGGCGGCCGCTGTCTTCTGCTGCGGCTTCCGCGACCACAAGTACTGCTGCGACGACCCGCACAGCTTCTTCCCCTACGAGCACAGCTACATGTGGTGGCTCAGGTACCGTCCCTGGCCCTCACCCTACCTTGAACCCCACTCCAGTCTCAGCGCCTTCACCCCAGCCTCAGCCCCCACCCGAGTGTCCACCTGAACATCAGCAGCAAGCTCTAGTCCTTACCGTCCTCATGCCCACAGCATCAACCACCCCGTGAAACCCCATCTCAGCTCGATTTCCTCATCCTGACCCCAACCATTATTTAGAGCCATGCTCGGACCTCCCCCTCCTCTAATCCAAAACAATCCTCACTCTATCCCCACCCCAAACTTCATTCCATCACCACCCTCATCCCAACCCCAAATCACATATCAAGCCTCCCCCTAACAGCAACTTCCATCTTCAAACATTCACAGGCAGCCCAACTCCACCCCAATCATCATCCCACCAAGGTGCCCTTCCTAATATCAACACCAGCCTTATTCCTGACTTTCCACACTCCCCAGTACTGACCCCAGACCTTATTCTATCACCAGCCCCAACCTCCTCTTCTGTCCTGCCTGCAGTCCCACCTCAGCTCTTCTCCCACATCCTGACTCCAAATATTATTAATATCTAGATCTACATCCAAACCTCAACCTCCAGACTTAACCCTCGCCTGGTGCTACACCCCAACCCCAGCCTCAGCCCAGCGTCAACCCTTGGTTCCCTTTTGTATTTAGTCATTCTTTCGGGCACTCTCTACTGAGCACTTGGTGTGTGCCAAGCCCTGTGGTGAGTGCTGGGGATGTACCCCATCCTCAAGCTAAGGCAGAAGACTCGGGAGTCAGAGCTGCCTCCAAGTTCATCATGAGACAATGGCATAGTGCAGAAGCTAGCTCAGGCCATATTCATAGAAGTGTTGACTCTCCACCCATAGGACCTCAGTTTCCCCATTTGTTCAGGGAAGAGGTTGCATTCCTGGAGCCTAAGTGTTGGCTTGAGAGGGTAATAGGTCTCAATCCCCCTGGGTCTCCAAAGGCCTTACCTGGAGAATGGAACTTGATCCTCAGCCTACTTTGGGAAACAGGCATCAGCAAAAATTGAGTGGGCCATCTCAGTAGTTAGTGATTTTCCTGTCCCTGGAGGTATATGAGCAGAGGCTGCTGCCCTCTGGGTGGGAAAGGACAGTGTCCTATGCCACGAAAACTTCTCAAGTCTCTGGCTTTTCATCTATCAAACGGGCAGTAGGATGATCAATCATTGCCCTGATTTCTGACTAAGGCAGTGGTAACGGTCAAATGACATACATAACAGAGCTGAAATCAACTTGACATATGCCAATGACAATTACAAATATTATTGCTTTTTCTAGGTGACTCGATCCACAATTCTAAATGATTTTCAGATGGCCAGGTTATCAGATCCTACATATTTGTGCTATCTATAACCCAGGGAATTATATTAATGTATTTTCTGTTCATCCATATATTCATTCATTCATTCATTCATTCTAGCCTTTACTTTGTGCCAGGCACTTTGCAAGGTATTGGAGACACAAAAATCAATTATTCCCTGCCCCTGAGGAACTCACAGTTTATTTAGAGATACAATGGTATTCACTTGACAAGTTCATTTTGCTTGCTGCCCAAAAAAACCAATGCACTGAGAACAACAGGTTTTGCAGCAAAGAAAGAGTTTAATAATCACAGGGCCAACCAAGTGGCAAAATAGGACATAATTCTCAAATCCACACCCTCATTCCCCACCCCCCACCCCACCAGAGAATTCGGAGACTATGGTTTCTCAAGGAATGGTGGCAGATGGGGCTAGGGAATAGGGAATGCCAATTGGTTGGGTTAGGGATAAAATCGTAGGGGATCAAAGCTACCTTCTTGCACTGAGTCAGTTGCTGGGTAGGGGAGCTCACAAGACCAGTTGAGCCAGTTTATTGGTATGGGTTACTGGTCCAGGTGGCACCAACTGGTCTATCAAAATGAAAGGTCTGAAAGATACCTCAAACACCAGTTTTAGGTTTTACAACTCCTCCTATAGGAGGAGTTGAGGAGATTACAAATCATGTGACCTCCAGCTACACGACTCCTGAACCATAATTCTAACCTTGTGGTTAATTTGTTAGTTTAACAAAGGCAGTTGCAGTCCCTGAGCAAGGAGGGTGTTAGTTTTAGGAAGGGGCTGTTATCATCTTTGTTTTAAAGTTAAACTATAAACTAAATTCCTCTTATAGTTAACTTGGCCTGTGCCCAGGAATGAAGAAAGACAGCTCGTAAAGTTAGACACAAGATGGAGTCAGCTATGTCAGATTTCTCTCACTGTGATAATTTTTCTGTATCAGATTTCTCTTACTGTGATAATATTCACTAGGGCACTTTCACAACATTCACCTAAAGTGAAACAATGAAGTTTTGTTGAAGGCCCACTGTGTAGTTGGCATTGAGCTAGGCTCTGAAATAAGATGGCACTGACCTCCCTTGTAAGTACAGAGACAATGTGGAGCTTTGGGGCTGGTCAGAATCTGTCACTTATTATCTATGTGGATTGGAAAAGTTATTTAACTTCCTAGTATTTTCTCTCAACTTTAAAATGGTGATAGAGATATTTGTGTGATAGTACAGAGACAGTGTGGAGCTTTGGGGCTGGTCAGAATCTGTCACTTATTATCTATGTGGATTGGAAAAGTTATTTAACTTCCTAGTATTTTCTCTCAACTTTAAAATGGTGATAGAGATATTTGTGTGATAGTACAGAGACAGTGTGGAGCTTTGGGGCTGGTCAGAATCTGTCACTTATTATCTATGTGGATTGGAAAAGTTATTTAACTTCCTAGTATTTTCTCTCAACTTTAAAATGGTGATAGAGATATTTGTGTGATGGAATTGTAAGAACTAAGAGAAATAATGCACATGAAAGTGACCAGTGCATATGTTAGGTGCTCAATAAGAGAGTTCCCTTTCCTTGGTTCATAGGTGTGGGAAGTGAAATTCAGTGTGGAAGTGAATTGTCCGAGATCTCCTAGCAATATCATAGCAGACTGAGACTTAAAGAACATTACCTAAGACTATCCAAGGGTTAGATGCTCTCACACATTCACAACCCTGGCACTTCTCATTTTACACATGAGAAAACTTGAGAAAGGTTAAGTTACTATCTGGGAGTGTCCCAGTGAGAGGCAGTGGCAGAGCTGGGTTGAAAACTCAGGCCTGTCTCATCTCAAGCCCTGGCTTGTCCTGTCTACTACTGTCTGGATCTCTCTTAACAACCTGATCCACTCAGATCATCTGAAAAATACTCACTGACCCTCTAGTGTCTTCTGGGCACTGTGCTGGCCCCTGGGGACACAGAGGTGAGTAATTCTCTCAGCACCCAGCCAGGACCCTTTCCCTCTTCCACTAACCCCTTCCCTACACAGCTCTTGTGTCTTGTGGTCCCTTCCGTTGCCCTGGAAACTCTGACGTGGCATGCTTTAGTGGCTCAGACAATGCTTTCTTCGGGGGTTGGATGGGCTGATCTCTGGGGTAACATCCCATGTCAGTGTGTTCCCATTCTGTGACCCCAAGGTGGCTAAAGGCTCTAGGGTGACTCTTCCTGGACTCAGACATAATGTGATTCATAAATACCACAGACAATTGCAAAGTGCAGGAGAGGAACTGAAAGTCCTCAGGATGTCTAGGGCATCAACGTGCTCTGAACCTTGAAATAACTCTTCCGGCATGCTCCTAACAGAGCCCGGATATTGCAGGGTGGAGACCTTGTTTTGCTGTAAATTCCGTTTGGCCCTTTTCATGAAAGTCAGTCCTTAAAAACTTCAAAATCTCCAGGTAAGCACTGTTTCCTGGGAGAGACAGTGCTCAAGGAGAATTGCTATCTTTAAAATTGTGCCTCAGGAAGTGAAGACACCCTGTGGAGAAGCAGTTGGTGCTGTCACACCGTCTGGTCCACTTGCCAAACACCCTCCTCCATCACTAGTTCTGTTTTTTTACGAGGGTGTGAGCCAGAAGACAGCAGCCTTGCCGGAAGGCAGAGTTTGTGGTCAGACCGTGTCTACAGCACCTCATTTCATCCTTCCCACCACCTGGTGAGATAGAAACCTTTATAAAGGAAGAAAATGAAGGTCAGAGTGGTAAAGTGATTTTTCAGCTTAAATGTGGCAGAACCAGGATTTGAACTTAGAACTACCTGACTCCAAAGCCCTTGGTTGTTAGATTGTCCCTCCAATTCTTTCTTAGGAGTCACAGTGGGTTTTTATCTTTCAGAGTCAGAACAGTAAAATCCTCGAAGACTCGAGGCTCTCTAATTCAATTTCCTACCCAGGGTAGGAATCTCTAACTTCACTGAAAGATATAACTCATTCGTGTGTCCTGCACAAGCTTCTCCCATGACAGGGACTCATCCCTGCTTGAGGCAGTACATTCACCATGGAACAACTCGGATCATTTGAAGTTCATCTCATGCCAAGCACAGATTTTCCTTCTTTGGAGCCTGCCCTGTTGTTCCCAACTCTGTCCTTGGAGTTTAGTTCCTCTGTCACCAGGACAGACCAGCAGAGACAGTGCCTGCCCCCTGACTGACCTCCGATCTGGAATGTATCACCCCAGAGTCAGGGAAGAGGATGGGCAAGAAAGCTGGAGAAAGAATGGTAGACAGGGACAAACAAAACTCTCCCCCTCACTCCTCAAAGGGCCTCTCTTAGAGGCCCCTTTCTATCCAGGAACCCAGAGTTGTCCCACACACGGGTCCCAAGCAAAGCACAATTCTCCTAGATAACAGCCCTACGAACAGTAAGCATATCTCAAATGAGAAAATAATGTTTAATTAAAGTAACTAAAGAACTAAAAAGCCCTACATACTCAATGTAAAAAATGTGAAAAGGACAAGAGAAATGAAAAGAGAAAGAAGTCATGAGTAATCCAGTGTCTAAGCTTGGATTCACCAGGAGACTCTGAGATGAGGATTTGATGGCAAGTAGTTTATGTGGAAAGTGATCCCAAAAATCACTGGTAGAGGATAAGAAAGTGAGACAGGGAGAGAAAGAAGCCAACAATGGGTGTATTACCAAGCAAATTACACCAGAGGTAACTGGAGCTTAAACTCTGCCAGCCAGTGTAGAATGTACTCCTCAGGGTTATCCCACCTGACGGCCAGGAAGCTGGATATTTAGCTAACAATTTCTGTCAGTCATCGGTCATGGGCTGGTGGGGTAAGGAAGGTATTGATTATCCTGCACTATTGACTTGCCAGTGTGTCCACAGAGCCTGTTCTGGGCCCAAGAAACCCCTCAGACAAAGAGGTAACAGCTGTTTGCAATAGAAACTTTGGCCAGGATAGCCAAGGCGGGCAGATTGCTTGAGCCTAAGAGTTGGAGACAACCTTGGGCAACATGGTGAAACCCAGTCTGTAAAAAGAAATATTAAAATTAGCTCGGTGTGGTGGCACATGCCTGTAGTCCCAGCTACTCAACAGGCTGAGGCAGGAGGATCACTTGAGCCCGGAAGGTTGAGGTTGCAGTGAGCCATGATGGTGCCACTGTACTCCAGCCTGGGTGGTAGAGTGAGATCCTGTCTCAGAAAAGAAAAAAAAAAAGAAGGAAACTTTGGCTAGAGTATCAGAATATTCCACAATGATAAGATCCAAGGGGCCCCAGACAGGACATCCACATCCTGAACTATACCCAGAGACAGCCTGTTAGTTGGTGTATCTCCATCAACCTTGCATGTGTACATGTGTATAGTTATGCATATATGTATACTTATTTAGTTAAATTGGGGTTATGCCATGTAATTAGTAGTGTGTCCTGCTCTTTTCAATTAATATTATCAATAAGTTCATAAAGATTTATCCATTATCTTAGATATTAAAATCTAGGCTGGGCGTGGTAGCTTACGCCTGTAATCCCAGCACTTTAGGAGGCCGAGGCGGGCGGATCACGAGGTCAGGAGATCGAGACCATCCTGGCTAACACGGTGAAACCCTGTCTCTATTAAAATTACAAAAAATTAGCCGGGCGTGGTGGCGGGTGCTTGTAGTCCCAGCTACTCGGGAGGCTGAGGCAGGAGAATGGCATGAACCTGGGAGGCGGAGCTTGCAGTGAGCCAAGATTGCACCACTGCACTCCAGCCGGGGCGACAGAGTGAGACTCCATCTCAAAAAACAAAACAAAACATATTAAAATCTAAAAGATCTGAAAACATTTTTTTTTGAGACAGGGTCTTGCTCTGTCACCTAGGCTGGAGTGCAGTGGCACCATCATGTCTCACTGCAGCCTCCACCTCCCGGGCTCCAGCAACCCTCTCGCCTCAGCCTCCTGAGTAGCTGAGACTACAGGCATGTGGTCACCATGACAGGCTAATTTTTGTATTTTTTGTAGAAATGGGGTTTCACCATGTTGCCCAGGCTGGTCTTGAATTCCTGGACTCAAGTGATCGGCCCACCTTGTCATCCCAAAGTGCTGAGATTACAGGTATGAGCCACATCGCCCTGCCTGAAAACATCTATATCATTAATAAGGTCTCTATATATGCTATACTGTTCCATTGCAGAGATGTCCAATAATTTATTTAGCCATGGGAAGGCAGACTCTTCAAAGCTCTCAGGTGTTTTGGTTGAGTGAAATTAGCCATTAACTAACAGGGAGCGAAATCCTGCAGAAGTGGCAAGGGCAGGTGTCTGGGGCCAGAGTCAGGGAAGAAAATGGGCAGGAGAGCTAGAGAAGAAAGGGTAGGCAAGGACAAAGCCTGATGCCACCTATACCTTCTCATTGGGAGAGTGTTCCATAACACCTGACACATAGTAGGTACCAAAGGATATTTACCAACTGCCTACCACATGCCAGGGCCTAGACAATGGGAGGATAAGGCTGATTAAACATGGTCTTGGCCGGACACGGTAGCTCACGCCTGTAATCCCAGCACTTTGGGAGGTCAAGGGCGGGGGAATCACTTGAGGTCTGAAATCCCGCCTACCAGGGAGGCTGAGGCAGGAGAATCAAGACTCTGTCTCAAAACAAAAAAAAAAACAAACAAAAAAAAACATATTTGGTCTCTGCCCCTGGTTCCTGAGTTGAAGCTCCTAAAGCCCTTGTAGATAGAGATGCTAGGAGCATCATTTGTTCTAAAATTTGGTCTCTGAACCCCGAGTTCCTGACGCAGAGCTCCTAAATTCCTTATAATTTCCTGGGTGATAGGAGCATCTTTTGTTCTAATGAGATGACTCATGGTGGGCTCCTGGAGAGCCTTAGGATGGGGGCTGGTTGCCGGGGAAACCAACCATGTGATTAGAGCACTGGAACTTACAGCCCCACCTCACTCCAACCTCCAGGGAGGGGAGAGGGCCCAGAGGTTGAGTTGATCACCAATGGTAATCAATCATGCCTATGTAATGAAGCCTCCATAAAATCCCGAAGACAGGGTTTAGAGAACTTCTGGATTGCTGAACACGTGGAGGTCCCTGGAGGGTTGTGTGATTGGAGACCAGATGGAAGCTCCACGCCCCTCCCTTATACCTTGCCTTATGTATCTCTTCCATCTGGCCATTCAACTGTATCCTTTGTAATATCCTTCCTAATCAACTGGTAAACATAAGTGTTTTTTTGAGTTCAGTGAGCTGTCCTAGCAAATTAATCAACCCCAAGGAAGGGGCAATGGGCACACTGATTTATAGCTGGTGGGTCAGAAGTATAGGTGACAACCTACTACTTGCAATTGGTATGGGAGGGCAGGAGGGAGTCTTGTGGGACTGAGCCCGTAACCTGTGGGAGCTGACACTATTTGCCTAGAGATGGTTCCAGAATTGATGGTGTCTGCTGGAGAATTGCTTGACGTGTGGGGAAAACCCCCCCATACATCTGGTGTCAGAAGTGTTGTGTTGAGTGTTGTGGGAGGAAAAAAGGAAGCTGTTTCTTCCTTCAGACCAGGTGACCAAGGCCTGACTTGGGGCCAGAGGCAGTGAGGTTGGAGGGTGAGGGACCAGCAGTGGAGGTATTTGAGACATGGAGTTGACACTGACGTTGTCAGCAGAACCATGGAGGTTGGGTCAGAAGTTACCTGAGGCTTGCCTGGGCACGGTTGGCTCATGCTTGTAATCCCAACATTTTGGGAGGTTGAGGTGAGAGGATTGCTTGAGGCCAGAAGTTTGAGACCAGCCTGGACAACATAGCAAAACCTGGTCTCTATTTTCTTTTTTTTAAAAAAAGAGGCGGGGGTGAGTGGGAGGGGGTGCCAGCATGGTGGCTCATGCCTGTAATCTCAGCACTTTGGGAGGCCAAAATGAGTAGATTGCTTGAGCTCAAGAATTTAAGACCAGCCTGGGCAACATGGCAAAACCCCATCTCTTCAAAAAATACAAAAACATAGCTGGGCGTGGTGGCACATGCCTGTGGTCCCAGCCATTTGGGAGGCTGAGGTGGGAGGATTGCTTGAGCCCAGGAGGTTGAGGATGCAGTGAGCCTAGATGGCAACACTGCAGTTCAATCTGGGTGACAGAGCAAGAACTTGTCTTAAAACAAAAAGAAAAGAAATTACCTAAGGCTGGAAGGAGAGCTGGCTTTTAACTAAGGCCTACTATATGTGTCTTGATTCTTAAGAAACAGCAGTATGGGGGGGTCCCCTAAGACCATCTCCAGGTCCCTGGGGTGGGAGCAGGTGAGGAAAGTAGGGAGGGAAGGAGATGGTGCTGCTGAGCGGGGTCAGGTATGAGTCCTTGGTGGTGAGTCCTTGGCATATAGTTGGTGCACTTTCTTTCCCATGCTGAAGCATAGAAAGCTTGTTTAAGACAAGTAGGGACAAAACAAAAGTCAAAGCTGATTCCTACAACACAACACTAATTTTTTTTTTTTTTTGAGATGGAGTCTTGCTCTGTCACCCAAGCTGGAGTGCAGTGGCACGATCTCGGCTCACTGCAACCTCCGCCTCCCGAGTTCAAGTGATTCTCGTGCCTCAGCCTCCCGAGTAGGTGAGATTACAGATTACAGGAGCCCACTACCACATCCAGCTAAGTTTTGTATTTTTAGTGTTTAGACCATGTTGACCAGGCCGGTCTTGAATCCTGACCCTAAGTGATCTGCCCGCCTCGGCCTCCCAAATTGCTGGGATTACAGGCATGGGCCACTATGCCTGGCCTAAAATTTTTTTTAAATATTTTTATTCTGTACATTTTCTTCCCAGCAGGCTCATTCTAGCCTAGCTACAACACTTTTATAACATCTGTCTCCCAAGTCCCTTCCTGACTCTCAGCTCCCATGTGGTCTTCTCTTCCCAGCATTGGCGCTCTCATAGGCCTGTCCGTAGCAGCAGTGGTTCTTCTCGCCTTCATTGTTACCGCCTGTGTGCTCTGCTACCTGTTCATCAGCTCTAAGCCCCACACAAAGTTGGACCTGGGCTTGAGCTTACAGACAGCAGGTAAGGAAGTTGCCAGGTGATGTCCTTGTATTCGGTAGACTAGCACCTTTTCAAGGGGGGAGAAATGTAGAAATGATGTTTGGAACATTTGCCTCATGACTATTCCTGGAATATGCAGAAGCAGCGGCACATTTTTCTGGAGATTCGTGATCTAAACATTTCCATCCTAAACTCTTCATGTTTACATTGTTTGTCAAAATAATTTAATGTAGACAACACTCCATTTGTCACACAAAGATTAATCCATGTTGTGGATTGTTTAAGATGATGTTTTAATTTTAGCCTTGGGGAATGCAAACTGATTTTAATATTAACCCAAACAAAATAGAATTAATTTTTAAAATCTGCTGCTTCCAAACTCATAATTTATCAGAAACGAAATACAAGCGCTTTTATTGTGTGTATGCGTTTTTTTAAATAATCTGATGTTCCAGACTACCCATTTCTTCATTAGTATAGGTTATCAAGTGCCTCTAAGGGGCCAAAAATAAAGTGTTGCTTTTTCACAAGCCTTTTTTGCACACATTTTGACAACATCCTGAAAGATATTATGAAAGATACAAGTCTCTGGGCTAGGCGCGGTGGCTCACGCCTGTAATCCCAGCACTTTGGGAGGCCGAGGCAGGCGGATCATGAGGTCAGGAGTTCAAGACCAGCATGACCAACATGGTGAAACCCTGTCTCTACTAAAAATACAAAAATTAGCCAGGCATGGTGGCAGGCGCCTATAATCCCAGCTACTCAGGAGGCTGAGGCAGGAGAATCGCTTGAACCTGGGAGATGGAGGTTGCAGTGAGCCGAGATGGCGCCATTGCACTCCAGCCTGGGCGACAGAGTGAGACTGTCTCAGAAAGAAAGAAAGAAAGAAAGAGAGAAAGAGAGAGAGAGAGAGGGAGGGAGGGAGGGAAGGAGGGAGTAAGGAAGGGAGAGAAAGAGAAAGGAAGGAAGGAAGGGAGGAAGGAAGTCTCTATTGGCAAAAGATCTTTCAGTATAGTTTGGTAGCCAATGCTCAAAATAGGTATTATTAAATCCATTTTACAGATGAGAAAAGCAAGACTGAAAGAGTTTTGATGACTTGCTTAAGGTGTCATAGCTAATAAGTGGTGGGCTGAAATACAGCTCACATCTGTCTGCCTCGAGTCACCATACTGGGTATGTGCAAGTATATAACTAAGCACAAAATTGTTTGATACAAAGTGTAGGGAAGATTTCAAACAGGGAAGGATACTTGAGTTAGTGTTGAGTTTAGTGAAGAAGTTGCTAAGGCAAAAAAAAAGGAGAAAGGCTGTCCCAGCATAGGGTAAGTAGTGGGTACATGTGTGTGGACCGGACTGAGTGAGCCCTCTGCAGTGACAGGGTCATTCACACTGGGCACCACAGGGAATAAGGCCAGGCAGCCTGGGGGAGAAATTTAAGCTAAGCAAAAGAAGTAAGGGTGACAGCCGGTTGTAGTGGCTCATGCCTGTAATCCCAGCACTTTGGGAGGCCAAGGGAGGTGGATCACCTGAGGTCAGGAGTTCAAGACCAGCCTGGCCAACATGGCAAAACCCTGTCTCTACTAAAAATACAAAATTAGCTGGGTGTGGTGGCAGGCACCTGTAATCCCAGCTACTCGGGAGGCTGAGGCAGGAGAATCGCTTGAACCCGGGAGGCGGAGGTTGCAGCAAGCCAAGATTGTGCCATTGCACTCCAGCCTGGGAGACAGAGCAAGACCGTGTCTCAGAAAAAAGTGGGGCCGGGTGCAGTGGCTCATGCCTGTAATCCCAGCACTTTGGGAGGCCAGGGCGGGCGGATCACAAGATCAGGAGATCGAGACCATCCTGGCTAATGCGGTGAAAACATGTCTCTACTAAAAATACAAAAAATTAGCTGGGCTTGGTGGTGGGCGCCTGTAGTCCCAGCTACTCAGGAGGCTGAGGCAGGAGAATGGCGTGAACCCGGGAGGCGGAGCTTGCAGTGAGCAGAAATTGCGCCACTGCACTCCAGCCTGGGCAACAGAGCAAGACTCTGTCTCCAAAAAAAAAAAAAAAAAGAAGAAGAAGAAGAAGTAAGGGTGACAGGAGGCATCGGGGAGGTAGAAGGGGCAAGGTGGGTAGTAGCTAAGTCTCAGAGAAAGAGAGGGCTGAATGCCATCATTTGTAAACACGAATTTTCCAAGTTAACAATAAAAATACAACAAGCAACAGCACAAGAACCCTTCTCAGATCCTGATGACTGTGAATAATCCAGCTGTGACTGAGCAGCAAAAAGCAGGAGGGGTCACTTTTGAGGGTGGAAGGATTCAGCTGGCTCCTCTTGGAGTGAGAAAGACCTGAGAGGCAGTGGCAGGGGAAAAGAAAAACGTCTGCACATAGAACCAGCCTGGTGGAGACCAGAGACAACTGAGGCTTCAACGTTTTGTTTTGTTTTGTTTTGTTTTGTTTGAGACAAGGTCTCACTCCAGTTGCCCAGGCTGGAATGCAGTGGCGTAATCATGGCTCACTGCAGCCTTGCACTCCGGGGCTCAGGTGATTCTCCCACCTCATTCTCCTGAATAGCAGGACTACAGGTGCGTAGCACCACACCTGGCTAATTTTTTGTATTTTTAGTAGAGATGGAGTTTCACCGTCCTGCTCAGGCTAGTCTCAAACTCCTGGCCTCAAGCAATCCACCTGCCTTGGCCTCCCAAAGTGCTGGGATTACAGGTGTGAGCCACCACACCCAGCTGGTTTCAACTTTTATAGAGGTCAATGAAAGACATAAAAGAACCTGACTATATGGGAGATATGGCACATATGTGGATAGAAAGGCTCAATATCATAGAAATGCCAGTTCTTCCTAAATTAACCTATACATAAAAATAAATAAAAATGTTTCATGGAATTTGTCAAATTAATTCTAAAGTTAATCTAGAGGCATACAGGTGCAAGAATGAACAACACAATTTTGGAAAACAAAGAAGAGGAGGGACTTGCTCTATCAGGCAGCAGGACATTTTTTAAAATAAAGGATTTCTGTTTAAAAATATAAGTTTTGTGATATTGGCACAGAAATTGACAAATAGAATTGGGCAATGCAGTGGTTTTAAACTGAGTACAAATTTGTTCCCCTAGGACAATTGGCAATGTATGTAAACATTTTTGGTTGTCACATTCGGGGAAGGGATACTATTGATAACTATTGGTAGAGGCCAGGGATGCTGTTTAACAGCCTACAATAAAGAGGACAGTACCTCACAACAAAGAATTATCTGGCCCAAAATGTCAATAGTACCAGTTGAGAAACCCTAGAGTAGAGAATAGAGTACTAAAGTTGAAAAACCTAGAATAGAAAGAGTCCAGAAACAGACTAATAAAAATATAGGAATTTGTATAAAATGTATAATTTTCTAAAAAATAAAGGAAAAGATTGGCAAATGTCCCTACATCAAGTACAAATAATATGACACTGTATGTGAAGTTAAAAAACAAATGATGGGCTGCAAAGATATTATATTACATTAAATATCTATACACACACACACACACACACACACACACACACACACAATTAGTCCTCATATTCTCCAATTCTGTATTTGCAAATTTCCCTACTTGCTAAAATTTACTTGTAACGTCAGCATCAATACTCAAGGCAATTCTGAGGTCATTTGTAAATGTGGGCACACACAGAGTAGCAAAAAATTTGATTTACACATGTATCCTAGGTGATATTGAATAAGGTATGCTCTGCCTTCTCTTTGCAGCTCTCATGGTACAAGCAAGTGTCTTTTTCTCAGTCTATTTAGTGCCATGGTTTTTGTATTTTTTTATTTTTAATGGGTGATTTCACTGTTTTGTTTTGGTTTATTTTTATTTTCATTTTTTGAGATGGAGTCTTGCTCTGTCGCCCAGGCTAGAGTGCGGTGGTGCGATCTCAGCTCACTGCCACTTCCGTCTCCCAGGTTCAAGCAATTCTCCTGCCTCAGCCTCTCAAGTAGCTGAGACTACAGGCACCCAACATCATGCCCAGCTAATTTTTTTTTGTATTTTTAGTAGACACAGAGTTTCGTTATATTGGCCAGGCTGGTCTTGAATTACTGAACTTAGGTGATATGCCTGCCTTGGCCTCCCAAAGTGCTGGGATTACAGGTGTGAGCCACTGTACCTGGCCTGTTTTTGTTTGTTTTAGAGACATGAGTTTTAGGTTATAGTGCTGTTGGCCATGAGTTCAATGTTAATGAATCAATAACATATTAAATAAGGTCACTTTAAACAGAAACACACATAGAAAAACAAAGTTACATATTGATCAGTTGACAAAAATGTGACCAGAGGCTCACAGGAACATAACCTTGTATTTCCCCTAGGAGCAATAATTCAGTATTTGTTAATTTAGTGTTTGCTGTGACTTTGTAGAATATAACTACCGTGAATAATGAGAATCAACTGTATATAAAACAAGGCAGTATTGATATAAGTACACCTTAAAAGATAAGAAAAATGTAATTTGTTAAAAAAGAAATGCAAATGCCCAATGCACAGGAAAAGATGCTCAACATTACTAATAATCAGGGGAATGCAATTCAAAAATGATACATCCAGGCCAGGCACTGTGGCTCACACCTATAATCTCAGCACTTAGGGAGGTGGAGGCGGGCAGATCACTTGAGGTCAGAAGTTCGAGACCAGCCTGGCCAACATGGTGAAACCCATCCCTACAAAAAATACAAAAATTAGCCAGACATAGTGGCACATGCCTGTAGATCCAGCTACCTGGGGAGCTAAAGTGGGAGGATTGCTTGAGGCCAGGAGGTGGAGACTGCAGTGAGCCAGGATCGGCCACTGCACTCCAGCCTGGGCGACAGATCAAGACCCTGTCTCAAAAAAAAAAAGAAAAAAAGAAAAATCTTTATTAAAAAAAAAAAATTACATTGGCAAATTGGCAAAAGCCCAAAAATGTATCATATTAAAAGTGAGAAGGTTGGAAGGTTGGGATGGGGGAAGCAGGTACTCTCATATACTGCTGGTAAGAGTATGCATTGGTACGACCACTTTACAGAGAATTTTGGCAATATCTATTTAAATAATATATATAATTATATATTAATATATCATATAATTATATATTAACATATCTAATATATAATTATATATAATATATTTCATTATTACATAATTAATTATCAATATTATATAATTGTTAGTTTTATATATATACCCTGTTACTCAGTAATTCTACTTCTAATTAGCTGCCTTAAATAGTTGCATTAGGAGAGGCTTTGTAAAGACAGACATCTTAAGAACCTGTCATATTGGAAACTAAATGTCCATAGGTAGAGGAATGGATCATAAACTGTGGTATAATAGAATAATTAAATATTGATACAATATAGGCAAAAGGAATGAACTAGCTCTAAATGTACCATATTATTTGCTCTTTATGGTAACTGGGTAGGGTATAGATCATGCTATTACTTTCATTTTACAGATGAGGAAACTGAGACCCAAAGTCACCGAATGAGTGACAGAGCCAACTCTCCCCTTCACCCTCCTTCCTCTCCTTATCCCTGTTGCTGTGAAAGGGGCATCCCTACAATGTGCCAGACACTGTTTGAAATTTCACACACACCATCTCCTCTAATCTTTCCAGCTATCCCAGTGAGGTAGGTCTCATTATAACCCAGTTTACAGATGCAAAAATCAGGTCTCAGAGAGCTTAGATGATTTGCACAAGGGTCATACATAGCTTGTGATTGTGGAGCTGGAAATCAAACACGTGTCTTTCTGCCTCCAAAGTCCTGCTCTTTCCATCCTCCTAGAGCAGGACTGTGGGATGTTCTGGCTTGTGCTCTGTGCTCCTAGTCTCACCCCACCCTACCCATCCCCTAATTCCTACTTTTCTGGCTCAAGCGGAATACAGTTCATCCCTCGGCCCTGTGAATGGAAACCATCCTCCTGCTTTTCACTGCTCAGCCACCAGCTGAATTATTCAGTCACGAGAATTTGAGACAGCATGTCCTCTTGATTTTTGTTTCTTATTTTTAAGAAGAAAAGTGCATTGCCTGACCTTTTACTAAATAACAGCTTTAGGCTCTCTCTGCTTTTTGCTCAAACTCAGCTCTTAGTTCCTACCCTTCTTCTTCATTAAGTGTTGGCCTCTCCTTCCCTCTGCACCCAAAGCATCAACCCAGGAGCTTCCTTCTGCATCTGAGATGGTTACAGGCCCACTCTCTTACATTCATCAGAGCTTTACTGTTGATAGACTTTCATTTCTGTTTGCTCTCTTGCGCTTCAATAGGACATGGAGAGAGGTCTTTACCCCCATTTTATAGCAGAGGAAACCAAGGCTCAGCCAAGGGAAATGAACTAAGTCCACATAGCCAGTGAGCATGTGTCACTGCGATGTCAACCCAGATCTCCCAGACTCTAAAGCCTATGATTGCACTGTCCCTTGGGTTCCTTAGCTCTGAGTATGGAGGCAAGGGTGGGGTGGGGAGTGCCTTGGCAAGAGCAGAGTGTAAATGGAAAAGCAGTTTCTGAAATAGGCTTCTTTCCCTGCCCAGGCATTCTGTACTCTGTCCCATCACCGTCACACCCATCCCATCCCCAAACTTGGGATGGCAATGAAGACCATAACTTTCTTATTCTGGTACTTTGTGAGGAACTGGCTAGATCAGAAAAGTGAGTTCCTACTGTTGAGCTGGGCACTGTGCTAAGGACTTCAAACACATCATCCCCTTTAACCTGCTCAACTACTCTGCCTGGTGATTATTATCAACTCCCATTTTGCAGATGAGGTCAGTGAGGTGAGTGTAGAGGTGATATCTAGGTACATTTAATAAGATACTAAAACATTGGGGGGAAAATTAAGGAGTCCAATTCTTATCCTTTTCTGAAAGTTGTTGGTGAAGAGGTCATTAGTCAGCCATTCTCATCAACTAGAACTCAAAAGCTCCTAGAAATAAAGTCTGATGCTCTCACTGTATAGATGGGGCAGCTGAGGCCCAGAGAGAGGCAGTCATGTGCCTAAGGTCACCCAGCCAATTGGTGGCCAAGCCTTTGCCTCCCAGCCAGAGACCTTTCCCTGCAGCAGCTGCCCCTATACTGCAGAATGACTTTCATCAGCCCCTCCCACCTTCCACAGAAGGCTCAGTCATGTCACCCCAGAGCCCACTGCTTTTTAATTAACCATACTTGAGAGGTAACGCCGAGGAACCAAACATGCTTCAGTCAGTGATGAGTTTGTTTTGACTCCTCCAAGCAGGGGGAAAACCTGAGAACTCCTTTCCAAGCTGGTCACCACAGGCTAGGCCCATGTTCAGGGTTGAGAACCCCAGGTAATGGGGGACTGGCCACGGAGGTCCTTGGAGAAAGGAGGGAAGGCACAGCGCTGGGCAGAGATGCCAGAAAACCTAGTTCTAATCTTGGCCTTGCTGCTGTCAGTGTGTGGCCTTAAGCAAGTCATTTTTCTCTCGGCCTCAATTTACTCTAAAATGTGTACCCTCATAGCTACTAAGAAAGTTGTTGCAAAAACTAGAAATGATGCTTACTGGTATTTAATTAGTCTCAAACACATAGTAGGCTTTTAACAATTAGTGGCTGTCATTTTCATTATTATTAGGCGCTTCAATTTTTACATGTTGGCAATCTCAAACATACCATTTTCTTTTTTTTAAAACCCTTTTTTTTTTTTTTTTTTTGAGACAGAATCTCCCTCTGTTACCCAGGCTGGAGTGCAGTGGTGTGATCTTGGCTCACTGCAACCTTCGCCTCCCGGGTTCAAGCAATTCTCCTGCCTCAGCCTCTCATGTAGCTGAGGCTACAGGCACCTGCCACCACACCCGGCTAATTTTTGTATTTTTAATAGAAACGGGGTTTCACTGTGTTAGCCAGGCTGGTCTTGAACTCCTGACCCCAGGTGATCCACCCGTCTCAGCCTCCCAAAGTGCTGGAATTACAGGCATGAGCCACCACGCCTGGCCTAACCTTTTTTTTTTTTTTAACAGCTTCCCACATAAGCCAAAAATGTAATGTAATTGCTAAAAAAAAAAGTGAGTGGAACCTCAGGTCACATTAACAGAGTATAAGGTCTGGAAGCAAAGGAGTGATGATCTATATTAACTTTCAGTTGGATAGAACTCACCAGCCATCACATCTCAGAAATAACTTTTTATCGTCTACTCTGTAGGTTCCCAACTTTGGTTTCCAATTTCCTGAGGGTCCCCAAACATAGCAGTGGGGATTCTTGAGCAATCTCCAATATTGCAAAGGTTTTTTGTTTTTTGTTTTTTTTGAGACGGAGTCTCGCTCTGTTGCCCAGGCTAGAGTGCAGTGGTGTGATCTCTGCTCACTGCAACCTGCGCCTCCCAGGTTCAAGCAATTCTCTGCCTCAGCCTCCCAAGTAGCTGGGATTACAGGCCCCTGCCATCACGCCTGGCTAATATTTGTATTTTTAGTAGAGACGGGGTTTCACCATCTTGGCCAGAGGCTGGTCTTGAACTCCTGACCTCGTGATCCACCCGCCTCAGCCTCCCAAAGTGCTGGGATTGCAGGTGTGAGCCACTGTGCCCGGCCCAACAATTTTTGTTTTCTTTTTTTTTGAGATGGAGTCTCACCCTCTTGCCCAGGCTGGAGTGCAATGTTGCCATCTCGGCTCACTGCACCCTCTGCCTCCCAGGTCCAAGCAGTTCTCCTGCCTCAGCTGGCTACAATATTGCAAAGGTTTTACAGGGACCAAGTTTCTTCTCTTTGAGCTAGAATTATATCAGTTCCAGGGGGTAATTAACATAGGTGCTCTCCTGCTGATCAGAGCTCTTTGATTAATACAGAATGGAAAAAATTAGTACTTAATAAATGCAGTCTATTATGTAGACAGAATCCTTCAGAACTTGGAGTTCAAAGGGAAAGAAGTAGAAAAATTAGGCCAGTTGTATTTTCTACACCATTTTATGAAGTAGTAACAGATCTAGAGAGGTGAAGGGTTTGGCACAAAGTAGCACAATGATTTAATATCAGAATGAGGACTTGAGCCAAGGTCTTGTAACTCCTGGAAGCCCAAGGGATTCCCCAGAGCCCTGGCTGGCCAGTTGCTCAGAGCCCCATAATGTGAGATGGACTTTGACCAATCAGATGATCAGAGGCAGGTGACTACTTCAGATCTGGGAACCAGGTCATGTGAGGATTAGGTAAAGAGCTGGGGATAGTTGGCCTTGAACAGAGGAGACTCTGGGCTCACAGCCTAGGGCCTCAGATCTCTGCAAGGTTGTTCTGGGACAAGAGGATCAGACATTTTTATGAGAATCGAGAGAACAGAGCTGAAATCAGTGGGGAAAGCCATAGGGAGATGGATGTTGAGTCAATAAAGGTAGAACTTATTTAGAGTATACCTGAAATACTGCAAAAAGAACTCCATCACTCTGGGCCATATTTCACTCACAAATTCGTAATCCTTTACAAATTTGTTTTGTTTTTTAACAAACAAGTTTTTTTGTTTTGTTAAATTGTTTTGTTTTGTTTTTTAAAAAAGCACCTCTATCCATGGAAGGTAATCAGGAAAAGGCTAAATATGGGATTCAGCTAAGGGGATTCTTGTATTGAAGAGAAGGTTGAAGTAAATCCCTGTACAAGTTGGAATGCCTTAAAATGAAAGCTTAAATAACAAAGAATCCCAAGGAGTCTATAAAACGTGCACAAAATAACCTGTTAGAACAAAGTGTGTTTGGGCCGGGCGCAGTGGCTCACACCTGTAATCCCAGCACTTTGGGAGGCCCAGGAGGGTGGATCATGAGGTCAGGAGATTGAAACCATCCTGGCTAACACGGTGAAACCCCATCTCTACTAAAAATACAACAAAATTAGCCGGGCTTGGTGGCGGGCACCTGTAATCCCAGCTACTCGGGAGGCTGAGGCAGGAGAATGGCATGAACCCTGGAGGGAGAGCTTGAAGTGAACAGAGATCGCGCCACTGCACTCCAGCCTGGGTGACAGAGTGAGACTCTGTCTCAAAAAAAAAAAAAAAAAAAAAAAAAAAAAAAAAGAACTAAGTTTGTTTAGCAAGGTCACAGTAAAGTCAAAACCAAACATCAATTGTATTTATATATACTACTAACAAAAAATTAGAAACCCAAACTAAAAACACAATAATACCATTTACAGTTACTCTAAAATAAATGAAATACTTAGGTAAAATTTAACAAAACATGTACAGGTTCTGTATGTTAAAAACTACAAAATCCCTCCACTTTGGGAGGCCAAGACTGGAGGATCGCTTGAGCCCAGGAGTTCGAGATCATTCTGGGCAACATGACAAGACTCCTGTCTCTACAAAAAAAAAAAAAAAAAAAAAAAAAAAAGCAGGGTATGGTGGCATGTGCCTGTAGTCCCAGCTACTGGGAGGCTGAGATGGGAGGATTGCTTTAGCCCAGGAGGCGGAGGCTGCCATGAGCCCAGATCACACCACTGCACTCTAGTCTGGGTGACAGAGCAAGACTCTGTCTCAAAAAAAAGAAAACTACAAAATGCTTAGCCGGGCATGATGGCATGTGGCTGAGGTGGGAGGATCCCTTGAGCCCAAGAGTTCAAGGCTCACTTGTAAGCTATGATCATGTCACTATACTCCAACCTGGCAACAGAGGGAGACCCCTGTCTCTAAAAATAACCAACCAAACAAAAAAAAAACTACAAAATGCTGATGAAGGAAATCAAAGAAGACCTAAAATGGAGAAATACACTATGTTCATGAATTGCAAAACTCAACATAGTAAACATAAAAATTGCAACCCGCCCTTTTTTTTTGAGACAGGGCCTTGCTCTGTTACCCAGGCTGGAGTACAATGGCACAATCTAGCCTCAACTTCCTGGGCTCAAGTGACCCTCCCACCTCAGCCTCCCAAGGAGCTCAATGGAAAAGAATTCACAGAAAATTAGGCCAGTCGTATTTTCTGTTCCATTTTATGAAGTAGTAACCGAGATCCAGAGAAGAGAAGGGTTTGGCACAAAGTAGCACAACGTTTAATACCAGAATGAGGACTTGAGCCAAGGTCTTGTAACTTCTGGAAGGCTTGGCTGGCAGCTGCTCAGACCCCCACAATTGGAGAGGGATCACCACACCCTGTTAATTTTTTATTTTTGTAGAGATGGGTTCTTGCTATGTTGCCCAGGCTGGTTTTGAACTCCTGGGCTCAAGCAATTCTCCCTTCTTGGCCTCTCAAAGTGTGGGGATTACAAGTGTGAGCCACTGTGCCTGGCCAAAATGGCAGTTTTATAGATAGATAGATAGATAGATAGATAGATAGATAGACAGATAGATAGATAGATAGATAAGCTAATTCTCAAATTTATATATAGAGAGACAAAGGAACTAGAATAGCTAAAGTAATACTGAAAAAGAATAATGAAGTTGGAGGAAATCACACTACTCAATTTTAAGACTTATTGTATAGCAACAATAATAAACAGTAAGGAGGATAGTGTGGTATTGGAGGAGGGACAGACACATGCATAGATCAAAATATGGTCCAGAAGTAGACTGACATCATAAGGTTGTCCAACAGATTTTTGATGAAGGTGCAAAATCAATTCAACTGGGGAAGATAGTCTTTTCAATAAATGGTGTTAAAACAACTAAACTTCCATAAGTAAAAAATAAACCTTTACCTAGATCTCACACCTTGTACAAAAATTATCTCAAAAAAGATCTAAATGTAAACCAAAAAACTCTAACACTTTTAGAAGAAAACAGGGAAAAATCTTCATGACATGCGGTTATGCAAAGAATTCTTAAACAAGACATCAAAAGCACAATACATTTTAAAAAAGATAAGCCAGTATTCATCAAAGTTCAAAATTTTAATGCTGTGAAAGATCCTGTTAAGAGGATGAAAAGGCAAGCCTCAGACTGGAGAATATATTCACATATTTGACAAAATATATAAGGATTGGTCGGGTGTGGTGGCTCATGCCTGTAATCCCAGCACTTTGGGAGGCCCAGGTGGGTGGATCACTTGAGGTCAGGAGTTCAAGACAAGCCTGGCTGACATGGCGAAACCCCGTCTCTACTAAAAATACAAAAAGAATTAGCCAGGTCTTGTGGCACAAGCCTGTAATCCCAGCTACTCAGGAGGCTGAGGCAGGAGAATCACTTGAACCCAGGAAATGGAGGTTGTGGTGAGCTGAGATCACGCCACTGCACTCCAGCCTGGGTGACAGAGTGATATGTCTCAATAAATGAATAAATAAATAAATAAAACAAAATATATAAAGAACACCCTAAACTCAACATTAAGAAAACAAATGATCCCATTAGAAAATGAGCAGAAGACTTGAACAGACACTTCATTAAAGACAAACAGAGAACAATCTATGTTTTAAAATGTCCAGGCATGGTGGCTCAGGCCTGTAACCCCAGCAACTTGGGAAGCCAAGGCAGGAGGATAACTTGAGCCCAGGACTTCAGGATAGCCTGGGAAATATAATGAGACCCTGTATCTACAAAAAAAAAAAAAAAAAAAAAAAAAAAGGTGGATGTGGTGGTGCACACCTATAGACCTAGCTACTCAGGAGGCTGAGGTGGGAAGATCACCTGAGCCCAGGAGGTCAAGGCTGTAGTGCGCCATGTTCAAGCCACTGCACTCCAGTCTTGGCAACAGTGCAAGACCCTATCTCAAAATAAAATAATGTTTTTGAAAAAGGATATATAGGTGGCAAATAGGCACATGAAAATATGTTCAACTTCATTAGTCATTAAGGAAATGCAGATTAAAGCCACAATGAGATGCCATCTCAAGGAGCACAGGTAATGGAAAGAGATTGAAAGCTTTCAGAAAGAATAGTACATAGACTCACTTGATCTTAGAAAGATCTTAGATCTCTCTGGCTACAGCATGGAGGACGTGATGGAGGGGCCCCCACTGGAGGCCGTTCCAGGGGTCTGGGCAGAAGAAGATGAAAGCCTGATCTAAGGTGGTAGCCTTGAGGATGGAGAGAAATGGGTGGATACCACAGATGACTATTAGGTGGAACCAGCAGGACCTGGCTTTGTGAAAGGGCCGAGGTAGAAGGTGTGAGAGATGACTCGAATTTTTGGCTTAAACACTTGATACATTTTTTTATCTAGAAAGACAGAAATGTTCAATTGTGTCAAATGCTCCTGATTAAAAAAAGAAAAAGGAAAAAAGAATCAGAGTCCTATAACTGGTAAAGTAAAATTTAAAATAAATAAATAATGTTAAATGTTCCTGATAAGGGAGATAAGGATTTAGAAGTGACTATGGGTTTAGTGACAAATAGTTTGAAGGTATAGTGGGGGCAGAACAAAGTAAGTTGCAGCTGAACAAGTCATGAATGGAAGGTAGAGAATAATAAGGCCAAGTGGACTTCCTTTCAAGCTTTGATTTAAGAGGAAGAGAGAAGATAAGTCACTCAGCAAAGAGAAGCATGGAATCTATTCTCAAAGCGAGAACAATCTATGTTTTAAAAATGTCCACCACTCTTCTCCATACTAGCTGTATGGTAATCCTGTGTTCTCATCTATAAAATGGATTTCTAATAGTACCTACCTCATAGGGTTATGGTGAAGGTCAAGTCTTCATAGCTCTTAACAATTGTTTCTTATCTGTTTCCTCCACCAAACTACAAGTTCATGAGCAACACTGACAGCTCTCAGTGCATAATGTGGTGTATTGTTAATAAATACATGTTAAACAAATGATGCTTCTAAGGCTCTGACCACAGTGCACTGCCCAAGGTAAGCACCAGAGAAGTCAGCTGGGGAGTGTGATCCTGTTGGGGAAGAAGAGAGCCACACACCCTCAGTTTGCTGTTTTCCAGGCCCTGAGGAGGTTTCTCCTGACTGCCAAGGTGTGAACACAGGCATGGCGGCAGAAGTGCCAAAAGTGAGCCCTCTCCAGCAGAGTTACTCCTGCTTGAACCCGCAGCTGGAGAGCAATGAGGGGCAGGCTGTGAACTCCAAACGCCTCCTCCATCATTGCTTCATGGCCACAGTGACCACCAGTGACATTCCAGGCAGCCCTGAGGAAGCCTCTGTACCCAACCCTGACCTATGTGGACCAGTCCCATAAACATTCAATAAATGTCTCCATACCATCCCCTTCTGGAGTCTCTTCAGTGAAAGGTGGGAGTGGGAAAGGACTTTAGAGCCTAGCATGATAAATGAGGGCTTCTCCCAGCAAAGATACCCAGCCCTGCTGTGGACCCTGCCATACTGTTCTGCTTGGCCTATTGTGGGCCAAAGAACTTTGACATGACTCCTAGGAAAAATGGTCAGTAACAACTCCATGCAATCGGGTGGAAGCCTGGGGCCTGTGAAGGCACAGAGGAGCCCCTCACCCAACTGGGAAGTCAGAGAACTCTGACATGGTTTTCCTGCCCCACAGTAGGTGTATTTAGGAGCCCCTGAGAAGATGATTAGCCCTCAGAGGGGGATGATCTCTGCCTCTTCAGCAGCTCTGCCTCACCCTGGAGTGCGCCATCCTGGAGTAAGCCCCTTGCAGAGGGACGGATAGAGAGGGAGTATGTTGTGCACAGGGCTCAGGCGTCATTCTATTTCTTAGGTAGATGAAGGAGTGAGTGCTAAGTGAGAGAATGAATAGGGGCAGGGCGCGGCAGTTCACGCCTGTAGTCCTAGAGCTTTGGGAGGACAAGGTGGATGGATCACTTGAGCCCACTTATTCAAGACCAGCTTGGGCAACACAGTGAGACCCAGACTCTACAAAAAATTTAAAAATTAGCCACATGTGGTGGCTTATACCTGTAGTTGCAGCTACTTGGGAGGCTGAAGCAGGAGAATCAGTTGAGCCCTGGAGGTCGAGGCTGCAGTGAGCTATGATCACACCACTGCACTCCAGCCTGGGCAAGACCTCATCACAAAAAAAGAAGAAGAATGAATGAATGAATGAATGGTTATCAGACTGAATACAGGCTCCAGAGGGTGGACTCTGCCACTGTGTGGCCTTGATAAAGTCCCTTGTCTTCCTGAGCCTCAGTCCCCTTGCTGGGTTATTGCAAGTGTTCAATGAGGTGATGGATTTGAACTCACTTCGTAAACATTAAATTACTAGAAGACTTTTTTTTTTTTTGAGACGGAGTTTTGCTCTGTCACTTAGGCTAGAGTGCAATGGCATGATCTCAGCTCAGTGCAACCTCCGCCTTCCGGGTTCAAGTGATCCTCCCACCTCAGCCTCCCAAGTAATTGGGACTACAGGTGTGTGCCACCATGCCTGGCTAATTTTTGTATTTTTAGTGGAGACGGGGTTTCACCATGTTGGCCAGGCTGGTCTTGAACTCCTGACCTCAAGTGATCCGCCTGCCTTGGCCTCCCAAAGTGCTGGGATTACAGATGTGAGCCACCACACCTGGCCTGTTAAAAGACTTTTTAAATGACCAATGGATGATAACATAGTATTCCTGCTAAAAGACTTTTTAAATTACAAATGGACAATAACAGTAAACTATGTAATACTGAACAACTCTGGAGCCAAATGCCTGGTTAAAATCCTGCCCCTGTCACTTACTTGCTAGGTAACCTCTGTGCCTCAGTCCTCTCATCTATATAAGCTGGAATCTTAGTAGTATCTTCTAATAGGGCTTGGGGAAGGACTAAATTACTAAGTCCATGCAAGTACATAGAAAAGTGTTGGCAAATGGAAAGCACTATGTGTTAGCTATTATTATTATTTTTAACATGTCTTATTATTAATCTGATCGCAAAGGAATCTTAGGGCAAGATGCTGACTGTCAGCCCTCCCTCCTGGCTGCTCTCCTAACTTTGGCGATGGCTTTTAGGCTTCGCCTTCGGAATGCAAGACAAGGACTGTGGAGACGCAGCTCAGCAGCCACCAAAAGCAGCTCTTGACATTTCAGACAGTGACATGACCTGCTGCTGGATTTGGCAACAGTGAAAGAGTCACTCTTAGATACCTGTGCCTGAGGCCAGCCAAAGGGTACATGATGGGGTGGCAAGACAGGGTGAGTCACCCACAGAAGTGTTCTAGGCTGGAAGTCAAGAGATTTTGGTTCTGGTCTTGCTTCATTTGTTGTTGTTGGTGGTGGTGGTGGTGGTGGTGTGTGTGTGTGTGTGTGTGCTCTTTTATTTCAGCATTTTTTTTTTGAGACAGTCTCATTCTGTCACCAGGCTGGAGTGCAGTGGAGATCATAGCTCACTGCAACCTCAAACTCCTGACACAAGCAATCCTTCTGCCTCAGCCTCCCAAGCAACTGTGACTACAGGTGCGTGCCACTGTGTCCAGCTAATTTTTAAATTTTTTTTTTATCGAGACGGGTGGTTGCTATGTTGCCTAGGCTAGCCTTGAACGTGTTGGGATTACAGGTGTGAGCCACTGCACCCAGCCTATTTTCAGCACTTAAAACCCAGCACCCTTGTCCATTTACTGCACACTTAGTGGTATCCATTCTATTCTAGGACCTGTGCAGGTTGCCACAAACAAGAGGAATCAGACAGTTCTCACCCTCAAGGGGCTCACATGGAGGACAAGGCAGGCACACAAATGGCCAGGAGGCCCAGTGGTGGCCCTTCATGGGGCTTTAGGGAGGAAGAAATGATGTCTGAGCTGAATCATCAAAGATGACTCAAAGTTTCCAGGTGAGACAGGAACAGAAAACATTATGGTCAGAATACAGCTTGTTCACAATAGTGAGAGCGAGCCAGTGTGGCCCAGGACCTGCAAGTTATTTGTTATAGAAAGAGCTTAGGGTACTTGTATATATGTGGTGGGGCTGGGTGATATTGGGATGTTTAGTCCCTGACGCTCTGTGCGACCCTTCACAGGACGAATTCCTTCTCTGTCCTTGGTATCCTCATCAGAAAAATCCAACTTTTCTCTGAACACTTTCAAGGGAGACTGGGAGGTTTCAGGAAAGAATCTGATAATGCCCTTGCCTTTAGGCTGCTAGCAGTCAGAAGGGGGAGATGCTGTGTGCATTCCAAACGCTAAAGTGGTCATCCGCGGCCTAAGGCAGTGGTTCTCAAACTCGAGGCTGCATCAGAATCAGCTGTGTGGAGGGCTTGTTAAAACACAGAATGCTGGCCTCCTACCCCAGTGTCTGACTCAGTAGGTCAGGAGTAAGTCCCCAGAATTTGCATTTCTAACAAATTCCAGGTGATGCTGATGATGCTGGTCTGAGACCACCCTTTGAGCACAACAGCCTCTGCAAGAACAAAAACAAGCTTTGAGGACTCCGAGCCAGAGAGATGTGGGGGAGACCGCACACTGAGCAAGGCCCTGAAGACCTGGTAGAATTTCCCCAACAGTTGGAGAAAGGGAATGTACATGCTGCTTTTGCTGACCTACACATCCTAGGCCTCATAAAGCCCCTCCCTGCCCCCCAACAGCTCCTCTCCTTTGAATTCAATCAAGGCTCAGAGCCGGCTGTCACTGGGGTTGGCTAGTCTGGGTCCTGCATTAGAAACAAACTGCCCACCCTGTGTGATAGGAGCCCCTCCCCCAGGGCAGCCGCAGTGGGAGGATGCTGGGTGGGCTGATACGCAGACAGAAATAGTCTGAGCTCACCGCTGTTCCCAAGCACACATCGACCGGCAATTATTTCTTGTAAATTGCTTTCCCGGTTATGTTCAGAACATGTGTGTGTGCCTGCCTGAGAACAAACACTCAGAGGGCACAGGGCGGAGGAGCTAGCTGGAGAGTGGGCTTCGGATGGAGGGGAGTGAATCTTCAGCCCAGAATTAGAGAATGTTGAATCTTGGAACTTGGAAACGTTAGAACATTCCACTCCCCTTTACAGCTATCCTGCTAGGTGTTTTTTTCTCAGACGTTCACATTTGTTTGTCCATTCAACATTGATTGACAATGATTTTCTGCCAGAATCTTGGCTAAATGAGGTCCCGATCCCTATCTTCAAGAAGCTCATTGCTACAGGCATTTACAAAAGATCCCTAATCTAGCCAAAGACTTTGGGAAGGCCTCCTGGAGTAAGCAATAACTGGATTAAGTTTAAAGGACCCACTGACAGGTGAAAGGAGGTTTCTGGTACAAGATGAGGAACAGCATTTAAGGCAGAAGGAACAGCATACATGAAGACCTATGGCTAAGAGAGACCATATGGTTCTTTCAGGTAACAATAAGTAGTTCAGTTTGGGTAGACACAAGGTGGGAATGGTGAAAGATGAAGCTGGAAGGGTAGACGAGCCAAGTCCTGAAGCCTTTGCCATATTAAGGGGCTTGGTCTTTATCCCGAGGGCAAAAGGGAGCCACAGGAAAGGGTTTCAAGCATGGAAAGGAACTCGACAACACCTTTTGTGAGCACTTGCTTCCTGTTCTCTGTAACATTGAAGTGAAATTTGCCATTCAGGATCTCTGCCTTTGGGGCCCTTTGGTTGCAGATCCTTCAGAAGTCTAAAGGACAGTGATGTCTCATGTATCCACAAGAAATGACTTGGGCCCTAGACATCTGTCCTCCGGTCAGGGGGAGGCCATTCTACTGCCTGACTGACTCATGACACTGCTCCTCCTGATCTGTGCCTGTTGGCTCAGGGGCCAGGGCACAAGACAGCCAAAGCCAGGCTGCAGGCCACAGCCCAGGAGAGCTCCATGCCTTGCTCGGTCCCAGAACCCTGGGTCCCACCTGGGAAGTCTCGTGTGTGGAACACTCACAGGGGTGTGAAGGGCTCCTTGCATACCTTCTCCATCCCTCACAGGATCAAGGCCACCCAGAGCAGATGACCCACTCTGAGAGAGTTGACTGAAGACACACTGTGGGCCCACCACTGTGACAAGCCCTTAGAATAGAATACGGCCGGGCATGGTGGCTCACAGCTATAATCCCAGCACTTTGGGAGGCCAAGGAGGGCGGATAACCTGAGGTCAGGAGTTCCAGACCAGCCTGGTCAACATGGTGAAACCCCGTCTCTACTAAAAATACAAAAAATTAGCCAGGCATGGTGGCAGGTGCCTGTAATCCCAGCTACTCGGGAGGCTGAGGCAGGAGAATCGCTTGAACCCAGGAGGAGGAGGTTGCGGTGATCTGAGATTGCGCCACTGCACTCCAGCCTGGGTGACAGAGCAAGACTCCGTCTCAAAAAAAAAAAAATAATAATAATCCTGCAACCCCGCCCTTCAGGCCTTACTTACTAGAGATGAAGAGTAGGTTTGACCCGTGAAACCCCTAGAGAACAGTCAGAGAGAGATCCCAAACAAATGCCAAGATGTGGGGTAAGGACCATTAGAGTTGCAAAGATTCTAAGGCAGGAGAAAAGAAACAGTCTGGAAGCCTTCATGGAGGAAGCAGGGGTTGAACTTAATCTTGATGGACCATGGCAATACTTGAAGGGTCTCATCCAGGTAGAGGAAGCATTCTATCCTGTCAACTTTCTATTTTATTTTATTTTATTTATTTATTTATTTATTGAGACAGAGTCTTGCTCTGTCACCCAGGCTGGAGTGCGATGTCTCAATCTCAGCTCACTGCAACCTCCACCTCCCGGGTTCAAGTGATTCTCCTGCCTCAGCCTTGTGAGTAGCTGGGATTACAGGCCCCTGCCAATATGCCCGGCTAATTTTTTTTTTTTTTTTTTAAATAAAGATGGGGTTTTACCGTGTTGGCCAGGCTGGTCTTGAACTCCAGACCTCAAGTGATCTGCCCACTTAGGCCTCCCAAAGTGCTGGGATTACAGGCGTGAGGTACCGCCCCCCCACCCTTTCTGTTTTAAAGAGAGTACCCCTTAGGGCTCCAAGGGCTCTGGACAAGTAGATCTCTCTAGCCCCACCTTCAGCCATAGTCCGCTAACCAACAGACTATCTTTTGTGTGCCAGGTCTTGTCCTGGGCTCTAGGAACAAAGAAATGAATCAGTCATAATTCCTGCCCTCAGGGAATTCTCAGGCTACTGGAGGAAGACTGCTAGGTTAAATAGACAGTTAAATACACTGTGGAAAGTGCCATGGTTTGTTTATTCAAGCACAGGGCAAAATCACTACTTGTCCAGCACAGAGGGCTGCTGTCGTGCAGCCAGCCTTATCTCCAAGGAGGCCTTTCTCCGGGAAGTAGGGAGCTTCATTGTGAAACCTTCATCTTCTAAACCTCCAGCTCCGGGTTCTCAAGCCCCGCCTTCTCTCCTGGCTGCTGTAGGTTACCATGGAAGCCGTAAGCCCCTCGCAGCTCCCTGCGGTTCCACACCCCTCCCTCTTCTCCATCTCTCTTAGCTCTTTGTCCTGTGGCTGCAGATGTCCTCCCGGGCTGATCAACTCCCGAACTTTCCCCAGGGTGAGAATTATTATCCCCATTTGAAATAGGGAAAAACTGAGACCCAGAGGCGTGAGGGATTTGCCCCAGACCCCTCGCAGCCCGTTACTGGCAGAATCCCAAGCACAGGTTCCCTCCAAGCACCTCCTCCGCCCTCCCCGCAACCACCCCTCTGTGTGGCGTTCATTATGCGCTCCTATCCACCAAAGCTTATGTTTGCTTTTTTTCTTCTTTCCGTATCTTTGGTAGTTTAACTTCTTATTCTAAGAAAATCAGAACATGTGGCCGGGCGCGGTGGCTCACGCCTGTAATCCCAGCACTTTGGGAGGCCAAGACGGGTGGATCACCTAAGGTCATGAGGTCGAGACCAGCCTGGCCAACATGGTGAAACCCCGTCTCTACTAAATATACAAAAATTAGCCGGGCGTGGTGGCGCATGCCTGTGATCCCAGCTACTCGGGAAGCTGACGCAGGAGAATCGCTTGAACCTGGGAGGTGGAGGTTGCAGTGAGCTGAGACTGCATCATTGCATTCCAGCCTGGGCAACAAGAGCGAAACTGCGTCTAAAAAAAAAGAAAAGAAAGAAAGAAAATCAGAACATGTGCTGACTAACCCTTGAAGTAACTTGAAGTTCAGTCTTTACATTAGTGACTTAAATCTATTCTTGGATATGTTGTTTAAGTCCTTTGTGAACTGAAAATAGTGCTGGATGATAAAACCTGCCAAAAAGCTATCGCAGAATGTACCAACCCTGATTATGCTGATGCAACAATGATAGTCATATTTTTGAGCATTGCAATATGCCAAAATGCATTCTGAAAAACCATACTTGACCGTGCAGAATTTACACAACAGAGAATTTGAACACATTATACCAAATAGAAGTGTTTATATAACTACAGAAGACAAAGGTATCGAAACCTTGGCATATGGAAAATAGAATTTGTCCTGCAAGACCAGCCCATTTTATTTATTTATTTTTTAATTTTAATTTTTATTCTTTTTTTTTTTTTGAGACATAATCTCGCTCTGTCGCCCAGGCTGGAGTGCAGTGGCGCGATCTCCGCTCGCTGCAAGCTCTGCCTCTCGGGTTCACGCCATTCTCCTGCCTCAGCCTCTCGAATAGCTGGGACTACAGGCGCCGGCCACCACGCCCAGCTAATTTTTTTTTTTTTTTGAAACCGAGTTTTGCTCTTGTTGCCCAGGCTGGAGTGCAGTGGCGCAATCTTGGCTCACCGCAACCTCCACCTCCCGGGTTCAAGCGATTCTCCTGCCTCAGCCTCCCGAGTAGCTGAGATTACAGGCGTGTGCCACCATGCCCGGCTAATTTTTTTGTATTTTTAGTAGAGACGGGGTTTCTCCATGTTGGTCAGGCTGGTCTCAAACTCCCGACCTCAGGTGATCTGCCCGCCTTGGCCTCCCAAAGTTGTTGGGATTGCAGGCGTGAGCCACCGCGCTCGGCCCTGATTTTTTGTATTTTTTAGGAGAGACGGGGTTTCACTGTGTTGGCCAGGATGGTCTCCATCTCCTGACCTCGTGATCCGCCTGCCTCGGCCTCCCAAAGTGCTGGGATTACAGGCATGAGCCGCTGCACCCCGGCTATTTTTATTCTAAGACAGGATCTTGCTCTGTGCCCAGTCTGGAGTGCAGTGGTGCAATCATGGCTCACTGCAGTCTTGACCTCCCTGGCATAAGTGATCCTCCTGCCTCAGCCTTCTGAGTAGTTGGGACTACAGGCGCACACCACCACGCCTAGCTAATTTTTGTATTTTTAGTAGAGACGAGGTTTTGCCAAGTTGCCCAGGCTGGTCTCGAACTCCCAGGCTCAAGCAATCCGCCAGCCAGCCCATTTTGATCTGCACAATACTTAAGCTGAAGGTATAATACCACCCACCCCTATGCGATGTCTGTACAGATGTGAAAGGACTTTGGAAGTTGTGATGTGCTCGACAGATGTTATTTATTGTTACTAAATGAAAGTTGGGGAAAGATCTCCTAGATTTCTTCCCAAGGGGCTCCAATTGTCAGACTGTTCAATTCTGAAATTTTCTATTGTTAACATATGTGGTGCTAAAGGTCTGTAATTGTGGAATCTTGAGCCTGATTCTAATCCTGTGAAACCAGAATCCTGTGAATCTGACATTCTGTAACTCTATCCAAGTGGGAGGTCAAGGTCTGAAGGCCAGGGCAGGGTGGGGACAGAGGTCAGCAGGAGGATCCCACTCCCCTAGGGAGGAGCAGTTGTCCCCGATGTCTTCTACCTGGGCTCACCCTTGGAGCTACAGCCTCATTATCATTCAGACTTATCATGAGCTCATCACCCTTCCTCCAACCAGCCCTCCCTGGGGCCTCATTGTATGCATTATCCATATTCATTACACATTTTTCTTCCATTAAGTCGAATTAAGCCACTTTGCCAACACTGCAGGAACCAAAATCTCCCTCAATAAGTATGGGCCCTATTGGGGCCCAGAGGAGGCCCTAAGTTAGGACAAATCTACCCATCCCCACCTCCCTCCCATCCTTCTTCTCAAGCACCATCCCCCCCCACTTCCCTGTACCCCAGATCACATGGAAGCTGCAGAAGCACTCCTTTCTGCAAGTTCTGGTACATGGTGTTCCCTCCCTGATGGCCTCACAGGCAGCTGCTGACTCACCCCAGGTTGCTAATGCATCAGGTAGCCATGTATTCCGATGGAGCTGCTTCATAAAATGTAGCAGCGTGTGCATGTGTGAGCTCACATGTGTGAACATGACCAGAGCACCGGCCCTGGGCTGTGGACTTGAGACCTGGATTCTAGGCCACCACTATTTACAGGGTTACCTTGAGCTAATGCCTTCCTCTCTGTCTCAAGAGAATATCCCAGCCCTTCTGGCCTCACTAGGTTGTTTGGATACTTACGAAGAAATGTGTTAATAATACATTGTTCTACAATGTGTTATGAAGTAAAGTGATATCTAAATGCAGTGTACCGGCTGGGAGCGGTGGCTCACGCCTGTAATCCTAACACTTTGGACGACTGAGACGGGGGGATCACTTGAGGTCCGGAGTTCAAGACCAGCCTGGACAACATGATGAAACCGTGCCTCTACTAAAAGTACAAAAATTAGCTGGGCGTGGTGGCAGGCGCCTGTAGTCCCAGCTACTTGGGAGGCTGAGGCAGGAGAATCACTTGAACCCAGGAGGCGGAGGTTGCAGTGAGCCAAGATTGCGCCGCTGCACTCCAGCCTGGGCAACAGAGTGAGATTCTGTCTCAAATTAATTAATTAATTAATTAAATGCAGTGTACCACCAAGATGTCCATGTCCAGCCCCATAGCACCACCTGCTGTGTGACCTTAGGCAGATCATTTTACTTCTCTGAACTTTTGTTTCTGTGCACACGCGCGTGTGTGTGTGTGTGTGTCTATAGTTTTTTGAGTGCTTACTATATGCTGAGCATTGTGTCTGGCATGTTATGGGGTTTACGCTGTACCAGTCAAGATTCTCAGTTGTAAACAAATTCTCAGAGGTAGTTGCCAGAAACTACCTCTGGCAAAATTAAGCAAAAAGGGTCTTTACTGGAAAGCTATTGGATGTCTCACTGAAATGACAGGGAGACCACAAAGCTAGATGAGAATCAAGGGCAGCTGGGCACGGCCAAAGTCCTGCCATGGGAACTATGTGTTTAGGACAGACTCTGCCTCTAGCCACACAGATACTTGCTGATCACCACTGCACTGCTAGGCTCTTGCCCCATTGCAGCCACCTGAAGTAATCTCTGTCCTTGCCCCTCTGCTAACTGCCACCAGACTCAGCCCATGTAGGGCATTGACTTGGCCAATCACAAGCCCACAAGGGTCAGGAGGAGTTGCTGCCTCCTTCAGCTCCCACATAGCTTGGAATTCCTCCAGATAGGGAGTGTTTGGATGCTGGGTGGCCCAGAGCAATCAATGTCCACTATAGGCTTCACCAATTCTGAGTTTGGTAATATTACATTTTACAGGTGAAGAGACTGAGGCTCTGAAAGGTTTATATACTGGTTACCCAGCTAGTATGGGTACACGAACACCTACCTTGCAGGAATGGAAGAAGTAAATGGGCGTAGTTAGTCAGCACGAGTTCATTCCTCTTTTCCCCTCAGTAATAGCTCTTGCTGGGAATGTTTGCTCCGCCATGGGGAAGTCTTTCAAAGATTTGTTCACATTCTCTATGACCCTGCAGGTGGTTCCTAACTTCCTGGCAACAACCACAATTGTAATTCGTTCAAAGAGATTGACTGCTGTGGAGACAGATCATCACCATCACCATCACCATCACCATCACCACCACCACCATCATCATCATTGTCATCGTCATCATTATGTTGCTTTTAGCTCACTGGAGCCTCACAGAACCCTGTGAGGTAGGTATTACCTCAGTTTACCAAATGAGAAAACTGGGGCTCGGAGGGGGTTTCATGGCTGTCCCAGACTTACAAAGCAAGTCAGAACCAGAATCATATCTAAATCTTCTGTCTGCAGAATCCACTCTATCACGTGGCCTCTATTTCAAAGAAGCAGGCCAAAAACAGGACATACAGCATTTGACATAGACATGGACCATCAAGGCAGGGAGATCCTAGCCCCTTTGCATCCTTTCTGCTTTTTCACTGGTAGGAAAGTTGAGTTCTAGAGAGAAATGCCCTGCCCAACCTCACACAGTGCCATTGGTGAAGCCTCCATGGTTTGAATATAGTTCTCTTGCCACCCAGTTTAGTAAGCATTCCCCACACCATTATGGAGCTCATTTCAAAGTTGAAGTAACTGAGATGGTCACCCCGGGAGTAAATGGCCCACCCAGCTGTTGGGATGAGTACATAGCTAATGTGTGGGCCCAGAAGAAAGGCCATGGCAGCAGGGTGGCTGGGAGGTAGCAGGCTTTGCACGTCCAGAAAATTCTGTTCTCTCAAAATCAGGAAATGTCTCCACACTTTAAGATGCAGTTATCCTCTCCTGGTTGGAATTGATTGCAACATACTTCAATTTGTGGGTTATTGGAATAGCTGGGGAAAGTCTGAAGGTAATTAGACCTGGATAGACCAAACATGTGTGGCCCAAAGAACTGAACAGTCTGTGATTAGCACCTTGATCTGAGGCCCACAGGTAGGTACTGGGAAATTTCCGTGCACTTTGGCTTTTGAGGCAGCCTTCCCATTTGAAAATGCCCCCCACCCCTCCCTGACTCCTTCCAGCGTCAGCTTAGAGAGTATTCCTCTAGGAAATTGTTTTTGACTCCCAAGCTGAGTTGGGATCTCCTCTGGTCTCCCACAGCTTCTCTGTGTCATAGCCCCGACCACACTGGATTGTCATTTTCTATGTGTCCATCTCGCCATTATGGACTGTTAATTCCAGGGCATGGACAGATCTTCCTCAGAGGAGGCCTCAGCAAGTGTCAGCCACACGAATGAGTGTATGGAGCAAAGGAGGAGTGAACGTCTAGGAGACCAGCCGTTACCCCAACTCCTCCCCATCCGCTCCTACTCTGGACTCCAATCTATGCCCTACCCCAGCTCTTGGATTTGGCCTTTGGATCAGGTTCTTCTGGTAATGAAGCCTCACCTTTCCCCCAACTAACTCTGATCTGGCCTACCCTGCTCCTGACTAACCTCAAGGATCCTGAGTCTCCTTCAGCCTAACAGCTCCAGAAGCTGAACTCCAGCCCTAAGAGCCCCAGCTGCAGACAGGCCTCTGGCCAAGAGCTTAGTCAGGCTACCCTGACTAAGCCACAGGGTTGGCATGCCCTCTGGGCAGCCCCTGAACCGGGCTCTGAAAACACAGGAATGGACAAGGTAATCTACCCGAGTCCTGAGCCTGCAAGGTAGTTGAGACAGATCTTGAAGGAGAGTGGGCACAGTCAGAAAGGAAAAAGTGGCTCAGTGTAAAATAAAACTGACACAAGCCCATGTACCAGCAGCCAATTGGATCTTTTTTTTTTTTTTTTTTTTGAGATGGGGCTTCTCTTATTGCCCAGGCTGGTCTTGAACTTCTGAGCTCAAGCGATCCTCCCACCTTGGCCTACCAAAGTGCTGGGATTACAGGCGTGAACCACCAATTGGATCTTTACTGGACCCCTACAGGGCACTGAGCTAGGGAATGTTGGAGATTCAGAGGCTGAATCAGATAGCAGCCCAACCCTGAGATACAACTGAGCTACAGGCAAGAGGATACTACCGGGCGCAGTGGCTCACACCTGTAATCCCAGCACTTTGGGAGGCCGAGGCGGGTGGATCATGTGAGGCCAGGAGTTCGAGAATACCCTGGCCAACATGGTGAAACCCCATCTCTATTAAAAATACAAAAATTAGCTGGGGTTGGTGGCACATGCCTGTAAACCTAGCTACTTGAGAGGCTGAGACACGAGAATCACTTGAACCTGGGAGGTGGAGGTTGCAGTGAGCTGTGATCACGCCACTGCACCCCAGCCTGGGTGACAGAGCGAGACTCTGTCTCAAAAAAAAAAAAAAAAAAAGAGGATGCTAAGACATCTGGAAGGTGGTGTTCTATTGAGAAAAAAAAAACAAGGTAGGGACAAAAGCGAAGGCCTAGAATGATACAAAAAGTGCAGAACATAGTGACCTACACAGCTACATTTGTGTAGGCCCAGTTACATCAACATTCTAGAATATCCTAATATTCTGACACACTAATGTTCCAGCACACCACATTCTGTCATGTTGTCATTCCATTCTGGGGAGCACTCCACCCCACCAACATTCCTCTCTCTGCCATTCCAATGTTCCATCCCACCAACATTCCTCCATGCCATCATTGCAACATTTAAAAATATCAGCACTATAAGTCAAACTTTCAAGCTTCCAACTAAAAGCATTTATTTGTTTCTTGGTTCATCTATACCAGAGGCTCTTAATATTTGGGGGGAATGCAGACTTTTTTGAGAAGTTATTAAAATTTATGGCTCCATCTCCCTAGAAAAATATGTTTATACACATAAATTTTACATATCATTCCATATATTCAGTGACTCATGGCAGAGTCCCTAGACTCTAAGAACTGTTCAATTTTACCCTGCCTTGATCCAGAAAGACATTTAAAATAAAATAAGATCGGCTGGGTGTAGTGGCTCACGCCTGTAATCCCAGCACTTTTGGAGGCCGAGGTGGGTGGATAACTAAAGGTCAGGAGTTCGAAACCAGCCTGGCCAACATGGGGAAACCCCATCTCTACTAAAAATACACACACAAAAAAGTGTAGCTGGGTTTGGTGGTGTGCGCCTGTAATCCCAGCTATTGGGAGGCTGAGGTGGAAGAATCTCTTGAACCTGGGAGGTGGAGGTTGCAGTGAGCTGAGATCATGGCACTGCACTCCAGCCTGGGTTACAGAGCAAGATTTCGTCTCAAAAATAAAATAAAATAATAAAATAAAACAAAACAAGATCATTAAATTTAAGACAGGGCAAGGTAAAATTGAAAGAGAAAAAAAAACAAGGTAGGGAAAAAGTGGAGCCTGGAATGATACAAAAAGTACAGAACATAGTGACCTATGCAGCTAAATTTGTGTCATACATACTTAGTTCTATGACTTCCAGCAGCCAAAGCAAAAAGGGAAACCTGTTCACTCACACAGTTCACAGTGTTCACAGGATAAAAACAAACCACTTACTCCTTAGAGGATATACAACGATTCTTGGTATGTAGACCAGACAAGAATTTCTCCTGAGAGCCTCATAAAGAATAATATAATAGACCATGGCGTCAACAGAGCCCTCACAATAGATACAGAGATGTATTTTGTGGTAGAGTTACCAACTTGTCCTGGTTTCCCTGGGACTTTCTTGGTTTTAACCCTGAAAGTCTCAATCCCAGGAAACTCTTTAGTCACGGGCAAATCGAGAAGGTTGGTCACCTTATCTATGAGTTACAGTTCAGTCAAAACTTATCTAGGGGCCGGTCGTGGTGGCTCACACCTGTAATCCCAGCGCTTTGGGAGGCCGAGGCAGGCAAATCACCTGAGGCCAGGAGTTCGAGACCAGCCTGACCAACATGGAGAAACCCCATCTCTACTAAAAATACAAAGTTAGCCGGGCATGGTGGCGCATGCCTGTAATCCCAGCTACTCAGGAGGCTGAGGCAGGAGAATCCCTTGAACCCGGGAGGCAAAGGTTGCAGTGAGCCAAGATGGCGCCATTGCACTCCAGCCTGGGCAACGAGTGAAACTTCATCTCAAAAAAAAAAAAAATCATGTATAATCAGAATTATCCTTGGAAACCCCTTTTATCACTCCTAAAGTACAGAACCATCTCCCAATAGCATAGCCAAGTTTTCCTCTAGCAATGGAACAGATTGCTGTTTCTTCGGTGGATAACTGATAAAGGGATTGGCTTGCTTGGGGACTTACACACTAGACCCATACTTAGTATGGCGACATGCACACACACTGAAGATTTTATGAGGCACCTGGGAACTGAGACCAATGAGGGGAACAGCAGATTTACCTCTTTCACGACACACTTGGGGCCTATGGTATATGAGTAAAATAATATTTAATATAGTATTACTCTTTCTCTTTCCATCTCTAGTTTCTCCACAGCAAGTATAATTGAGTTTTTGTAAACTAAAGAGAAATAGTACCTATTTCATAGGGTTGTGACAATTAAAAGACCTACGTTTTTGTGTTTTGTTTTGTTTTGTTTTTGAGACGGAGTTGTGCTCTGTCACCCAGGCTAGAGTGCAGTGGTGCGATCTTGGCTCACTGCAACCTCTGCCTCCTGGGTTCAAATGATTCTCCTGCCTCAGCCTCTCGAATAGCTGGGATCACAGGCTCCCGCCACCACGCCCGGCTAATTTTTGTATTTTCGTAGAGACAGGGTTTCACAATGTTGGCCAGGCTGGTCTCGAACTCCTGATCTCAGGTGGTCCGCCTGCCTCAGCCTCCCAAAGTGCTGAGATTACAGGCATGAGCCACCATGCCCGGCCAAAAGAGTTAATATTTATAAAGCACTCAAAACAGTTCCTGATCCAGGGTAAGCTCTCTATAAGTGTTTGCTCTTACTGTATTTAAGGTAGATATAGTGGCACTCCACTGTATTTTCTACAAAATCCTGCATATAATCCTTCATGGCAATTTGGGAAAAATGCATTCTGTGGCAGGGATGAGGTTTAGCACACTAGCCCTTTGTAGTTGCAGATGCATGCAGGAGATATATATTATATATTATATATATATTTATATATATATATATACACACACACATATATTATATATGTATATATTTGAGATGGGGTCTTACTCTGTCCTTGCTCAGACTGGAGTGCAGATGGCTCACTGCAGCCTCGACCTCCTGGGCTCAGGTGATCCTCTCACATCAGCCTTCCAAGTAGCTGGGACTACAGGCATGCACCACCACACCCAGCTAATTTTTGTATTTTTTGTAGAGACAGGGGTTTTACTATGTTGCCCAGGGTGGTCTCGAACTCCTGGCACACTGCAACCTCCGCCTGCCAGGTTCAAGTGATTCTCCTGCCTCAGCCTCCTGAGTAGCCGGGATTACAGGCATCCACCACCACACCAGGCTAATTTTGTATTTTTAGTAGAGACGGGGTTTCTCCGTGTTAGTCAGACTGGTCTCAAACTCCCGACCTCAGGTGATTCGCCTGCCTTGGCCTCCCAAAGTGCTGGGATTACAGGTGTGAGCCACCGTACCCGGCCGGCTGGGATATTATTTAAACTTGTAGAGGAGCTGAAGGACTGCCTGCCTTCAGCCACTTCTCCCCAAGCAGGGGTCTTGAATCTGAGTTGGTAAGTGTGAGGAGTGGCAGTGAACATTCCCTGGTGAGGGCCTGGCCCCTTTCACTCCATGCTTTGGCTTAGAAAATCCTCAAACTCCATCTAGAGAGCAACAACTCAACAAGCACCCCCACATGGCATGTCCAGACTGCACTCCCTGTTCCCATGCAGTCGGCTCTGGCCTCTTGAGGCAGGAAGCCCTGGCTGGCTGGGATCTGTCTGGAGGCCTGGCATGAGTACTGAGCTGTGTGCCACAAAGTCTGCCACACAGACCAACCAACAAACCATTGAATTTGAAAGCACTTTGTACACTGTGAAGTGCTGTGCAGATGTGAGAGACATGAGTTAGGATACAGTGCTGCTGAATTCAGAGTCCAGAGAGGTGATGAGACTAGAACTTGGGCAGTGCCTGCAGGGATGGAGAGGGAGCAAACAGGCAATTAATTCAGAAGGCCTAGAGTGGAACATACTTGATATTTGATTATGCTGTGGCCAACAATTGGTAAGAAATCCTAAGATGTCTAGGTCCCTGCATCCTTCTCCGGCCAGAACACACATTTCTTACAGGTTTAGAATCTCAGAGCTGAAAGAAATAATAATTAATTGATTAACTTAACAAAAACTCACCAGATGCCTGCTCTAGTGTAAGCACTGGGCGTGACGATCGTGAAGTATGACCTAACTCCCATAGCAGAATCTCCTGCTCCACCACCCAATAACTCTGGGATCAACAAGTCACTTACCTCTTCTAAGGCTCAGTTTACCTGTCTGTTAAATGGGAATAATGTAAAATAATAATAATACCTCCATCATAGGATTGTTCTGACGATTAAATAATAACTAACTTATATATGGTACTTAGTATATGTCAGACATTGTTCTAGGTGTTTACATATGTAAATTCATTTAATCCTCACAAGAAAATTTTGAGATAGGGTCTCACTCTGTCACTCAAGAATGGAGTGCAGTGGCATGATCTTGGCTCACTACAGCCTCGACCTCCTGGGCTCAAGCAATCCTCCCATCTCAGCCTCCCACGTAGCTGGGACTATAGGCATGCACCACCATCCCTGGCCAGTTTTCATATTTTTTGTAGAGATGGGATTTTGCCATATTGCCCAGGCTGGTCTCGAACTTCTGGCCTCAAGCGATCCACCCACCTACGCTTCCCAAAGTGCTGAGATTACAGAGCCACTGTGCCTGGCCATTCTTCACAATAATTTAATCCTGTGAGAGAGACGTATTATTCTTATCCTCATTTTCCAGATGATGAAACTAAGACACAGAGAGGCCAAGTAACTTGCCCCAGCTCACACAGCTAATAAGCAGTAGAGCAATATGGCTCCAGAAACTATGTTCTTCTTGACCACTCTCAATATTTTCTTTTTATTTTTTTGAGACAGAGTCTCGCTCTGTTGCCCAGGCTAGAGTGCAGTGGTGCCATCTCAGCTCACTGCAACCTCCACCTCCTGGGTTCAAGTAATCCTCCTGCCTCAGCCTCTCGTCTACCTGAGATTACAGGCGTGTGCTACCACGCCCGGCTAATTTTTTGTATTTTTAATAGGGACGGGGGTTTCACCATGTTGGTTAGGCTGGTCTTGAACTCTTGACCTCAGATGATCTGCCTGCCTTCACCTCCAAAGTGCTGGGATTACAGGTGTGAGCCACCATGCCCAGCCTATCCTCCATATTTTCAATGACGTGTTTAGCACAGCTCCTTGCACACGGTAAGCACTCAATGTCAGTTGCCAGTAAGATGATTACATTTTCAACAGCTTTATTGAGGTATATTTTATGTATTATGATTACATTTTGACTGTTAGGAAAATCTTTCTGACACTGAGTTAAAATCCCCCTCAGACCATGCCCCTCCTCCATGGGTTCCAATTCTATCCCCAGAATCTCCTTAGAGCCTTGCCTTGTTACAGTCTCTTAGGGATTTGCAGTTACAGGCCAAACCTGTCTGGTGGGGCTTAGTCTGGCTTCCTTCCTGTCTGTTGGTGACTCAGCCATTGGTTGATGGATTGACAAGCCTCTGATAAGTCCCAGGAGCACTGCAGGTCGGGGGCTGCTGCCTCCTACCCCAGAGCCCAACAGCTACATAAATAAACTACATAATTTGCAGGGTCCAGTGCAAAGTGAAAATGCAGGGCTCCTTGTTCAACATTGTTAAGAATTTCAAGACAGTGATAGTAGAGGCTTAAACCCGGCATGGGGCCCTTGCAAATGTGCAGGACTCACATCCATGAATCAGCCCTAGCAGCATCCTGTATCTTCAGTTCTTCATCACCTCATCCCACCACCATCCCATCCCACCATGTGCTCATGTGGAGGCTGAGCCTGGGAAGTTCCTGGTACACCAGAGAAACACAGAAAACATTTAGCACCAAGAGAGTTACAGCTCACTTGTGCCCTCAAGTCCATCAATTAACTGTAAGTCTGCCTTGAACCTCACTGGCTATAAGATTCAGGCTGTCCACCGTCTCTCGGGCCCCTTTTGTCAGAGGCAGCCCTCTAGGTTTGGTGGATTAGTGGTACAAACACCAGACTAAGAGTTGGGACCTTCCATTGCCTTCCTGAGGACACTCTCATGTGTCTCTTAGAAACACAAGATTTGATGCTCTCAAATCTTGATACAGAGTTTCACTCTTGTCTCCCAGGCTGGAGTGCAATGGTGTGATCTCCCCTCACTGCAACCTCCGCCTCCCAAGTTCAAGCGATTCTCCTGCCTCAGCCTCCCGAGTAGCTGCGATCACAGGCACCCACCACCGTGCCTGGCTAATTTTTGTATTTTTAGTAGAGATGAGGTTTTGCCATGTTGGCCAGGCTGGTCTCGAACTCCTGACCTCAGGTGATCCACCCACCTCAGCCTCCCAAAGTACTGGGATTACAGGCCTGAGCCACTGCGCCTGGCCTGCGACTTTTTTTTTATTCATTTATTTATTAGAGACAGGGTCTCACTTTGACACCTAGGCTGGAGTGCACTGGCACAACCTCGGCTCACTGCAGCCTTGAACTCCTGGATTCTAATGATTCTACTGATCCTCAGCCTCCCAAGTAGCCAGGACTACAAGTGCACACCACCATGCCTGGCTAATTTCAGTTTCTTTATTTGTTTTTTGTTTGTTTGTTTGGTTTTTGTTTTTTTGTAAAGATGAAGTCTCACTATGTTGCTCAGGCTGGTCTTGAACTCCTGGGCTCAAGCGATCCTCTTGCCTCAGACTCCCAGCTCCCAAAGTGCTGGGATTGCAGATGTGAGCCACTGCACCCTGCCTTCATTCCTTTAGAAGCTGATGGGATTTGTCTCCTCTGCCCAGGAGTCTTCTGAGGTCTTGAGAGTGCTCTTCTCTCCTCACAGAAGCAGGGTCACTGGCAGAGGGAGCCCAGGCTCCAACCCAGCTCTGCCGCATATTCACTGTGACTTTGGGTAAGTTCTCAGTATCTCTGAGCCCCAATTTCCTCACCTGTAAAATGGGTTCCATACTTAGACCTCCCTTACAGGATGTTCCCCACTTCAGGAGGCGCCCTGCACACAGTGGGCAGTTAATGAATGTTGCTGTTATTACACCACCCCAGGGCAGCTTCAAGGTCAAAGCTTGATGCCACTGATGTCTGGAGTCCACTGGGGCCTCCTGGAACCTGATCGGACACCGTCATCTTGGGGAGAGTAGGGTCAGCTGCTATTCTTGGAGCTGATGGAACCCAGCCGGGTTTCAAGTTCCCTCAGGGAGCCCTGGCCCAGGCAGCTTGGCTGGTCATGTGAGCAGTGAAGTCTGACCTCAGCAAGTTCTCCTGGACTCTCCGCATGGCCCCAGCTGGAGGGAACTTGGGCACAGAGCGTGCTACAGGGAGTCCATGTCCTCCTGCAGCTGACCTTAGCCTTTTAGCTCCTGTTCATCAGCATCTACTTGGTACCCAAAAGGTCCTCGGGTGCTGTTTGAGGGTCTCCCTGAGACTGCAAAGTGTTTCCAACATCAGGATGTGAGGCAGCCTTGAGTCATATGAAGAGGGTTTAGGAGACAAGCAGGACTAAGTTCTAATCCCGGCTGCAATACTCATTGGTCTGTGAGTCTTTCTGTAAGCCACTTTGGCTGAGCCTCAGTTTATTTGAAAAACAGTGAGAATGAAAGTTTCCTGAGATGATTAGAGCATCTGGTACAAAGTAGTTGCTCAATAAATGATCAAAATTTAGACTGTAATTTCCTAAATGATAAAGACTCTGTCAAATCCAGCCCTGCATCCCCAGCGCCCAACCTAGGGCCACCCAGCCTAGAGGAAGCCCTCAGTGTTGACCATATGAATAATGAATTATGGAGGGCACTGAATGGAAATGCCTTATCTGGCTCCCATCTTTCAGGTTTTGCATACTCACTCCACCCAAATCTCATATAGAGTTAGTCCCCTCTGCATCAGCCCTGACAGGCGAGCATCTCCTCTCTTCTTGCATATCCCTGTAATAGGAAGTTCACCTCCTCCCAGAGCTTCTCATTCTGCCAAGTAGAAAATGCTTTCTTCCACTCAGATGTCGATGAACTGAGTTCTGTCTCCTAGCAGCTTCCATCCATTGGGCCTAGTTCTGCTCTCTGGAGCTGTACAGAACAAGCCTAGTTCTGCTTCCGAAAGATAGCCCTCCAGTGAGCTATTACACAATTTAGAATGTGCCAGGCATCGAGCCAGGCACTGCACTTACTTTATCTCATTAAACCCTTTAACCCTTACACTAACCCTGAAAAGTAAACATTATCCTTACTCTAGAGATGAGGAAAATGAGGCTCATAGAGGAAACATAACACATTTGCAGAGAAATTATTTAAATCCAGATTCTTTTCCAAAACGCTACCTTTTCAATGCTCAGTTGATCTACTGGAAGATAGCATTTGTCTCTGAGAGTTTCCCTTCCCTTCCCTTTCCTTCAATAAAGATTTATTATGTATCTCATCTGTACCAGATCCTGAGCTAGGCACAGGGAATAGAAATGAGACATAATCTATTAGGACATAATCTATTGGGACAGGCACTTAACAGCCTGTCCCAAACCATGTGAAAAGGACAGAGACAGGCTGGGCATAGTAGTGCCATCATTTTGGGAGGCTGAGGCAGGTGGATCGCTTGAGTTCAGAAGTTTGAGACCAACCTGGGCAACATAGTGAGAACTTGTCTCTGTTTTTAAAAAATCAAATTAAGCCTGGACGAAGTGGCTCACGCCTGTAATCCCAGCACTTTGGGGGGCCAAGGCAGATGGATCACTTGAGGCCAGGAGTTCGAGACCAGCCTGGCCAACAGGCCAACATGGCAAAAGCCCATCTCTACTAAAAATACAAAAATTAGGCAGGATGCCAGGTGCCTGTAATCCCACCTACTTGGGGGGCTGAGGCAGGAGAATCGCTTGAACTTGAGAGGCAGAGGTTGCAGTGAGCCGAGATCATGCCATTGCACTCTAGCCTGGGCAACAGAGTGAGACTCTGTCTCAAAAAAAAAACAAAAACAAAAAAACCCACTAAATTTTAAAAAAGGAAAGAAAGAACTGAGAGAAGCACAAGGACTATCAGAAGACCACGGAACTTGAGGGTCCAGGATGACTTCCTGGAGGAGGTGACATGTGGGCTAAGTTTTAAAGGACTATTAGGAATTGTAAAGAGCTGAAGGTGTGGAGACCAGACTGCAGAGGGGTTGTAGTGACAAGCTAAGGAGCTGCGGCTTTACACCACTTGAGTGGGCTGCCCATTTTAGTATGAATAAGAATTTCCCGTGGTTTTCTTATTTAAAATCCAGATTTTCATTCCGTAGGTCTTGGTGGACCCAGACATCAGCAAAAGCTTGGCTGTAAGAAACAGCCTGGGTATTTTGTTGTTACTTTTTCTTTTAAAATATTTAATGGATAAACAAAAAGTGTATATATTCAAGGTATACAGTGTGATGATTTGATATACATTGTGTACTGATTACTATAGTCAAATTAATGAACGCATCCATCACCACTTAATTTCTCTCTGTGTGTGTGTGTGTGTGTGTGAGAGAGAGAGAGAGATAGGGATATTTTGGGGGTGGGGCAGGTGGTGCAGAGACCACAAGCAGTTCCCTGATGCAAAGATGCCTGAGTTAGGAATAAGATGGGGCTAAATATGGAGGCAGGGATCATCTCATGGGAGTGGGGAGACACACTGGGCAAAGAATTTTGGCCTTTCCCCTTTAGACAGTGGGGAGGCCTGATTTATAAACTGTAATACAATCACCATTCCTCAAGCCTGGGGAGGGGCACCAGCTGGGAATAGTTTCCACTCTGGGCCCCCAGCAGGTGCAAGTCTTCTCAGTGACTCTGTGCTCAGGCAGTGGAGAAGGGAAAAAGTAGGGGCAGCCCCCTACTTTTCCCCTGCCCCAGGCATGCCCCCTGCAGCTGTTTTGTGCCATCAGTACCCCTGGAGAGCCTCACCGTCAGCTCCCTGGATATTCAAAGAATGGCAGCAAAGGCAGGCTGTTTTAAAAGCTAGACTCCCTCACAAGGTAACAATACCACTCAGAAAAAAGACAATTATCTAATTGTAAGATTTCATTCCACAAAAGTCTTTTTAAATCAGCATTTATCATTCTACGATAAGAGTTACTATTTACTCCTCCTAACAACCCTACTAGAAGACATTGTTATCCCCACCTGAGAGGTGACAAAATCCGAAAAGAGGGTAGAGTAACTTGTCTAAGGTCACACAGCCAATAAAAAGCAAAACTCAGGTCAGAACCCAGGCTAAGACCTTTAGACCTAAGAACTGAAAATAGTCTGGTACACCCCGCCCCCACCAACCCTAATATAGAATTCACAATAAAAGAGATCTAAACTGCAAAATGAACATAAAGAACCCAAAAAAGTCTTCATTCCCCCCACAAAGTGATTACTTGATGCTTTAAAAGAAATGTAGGCCAAGAGCGGTGGCTCACGCCTGTAATCCCAGCACTTTGGGAGGCTGAGGCAGGCAGATCACGAGGTCAGGAGATCGAGACCATCCTGGCTAACACGGTGAAACCCCATCTCCACTAAAAAAAAATACAAAAAATTAGCCAGGCATGGTAGCGGGAGCCTGTAGTCCCAGCTACTCGGGAGGCTGAGGCAGGAGAATGGGAGGCGGAGCTTGCAGCTTGCAGTGAGCCAAGATCGAGCCACTGCACTCCAGCCTGGGTGACAGAGCGAGACTCTGTCTCAAAAAAAAAAAAAAAAAGGAATATAACATTACTATTTTTAAATGTATATATTTCTCATTCTTTGTTAGGTGTCCTAAATATACATGCGTATTCTGCCTTTGACTAATCCAGAATTGTCCACATCTGTAGGATCTGAAGTCTAGGCATTTTCCCTCTGCCACGCTGCCCTTCATACAATTTTTCAAGCAACTTCATAAAACAAATAAAAATGCTATTTATTTATAAAACTTAAAAAATCACCCAACAGTTCAGAGTTCTTGTCCCCATCCCCACACCACAGGCTCCAAATCAATATGAATAGCTCCACTGTCCACCTAGATGCCCAAGCTAAACCTGTTTTGGTTTATATTTTTCAACCTCATGCTCAACCCCACCTTCTTCCCACCCCCGCATGGCTCAATTTTGCTTATTCAGCTGTCTGGCCTCTCACCTGTGCTCCCTTCCTTGCTTGACAGGCCTTAGCTCAGGCCCCACCATGTCTCACCTTGACATCTGCAGCCATCTCCTCATTGGTCTTCCTGCCTCCAGTCTTTCCCCCGTGATTCATTTTCTGCACTGGGGATGATCTTTCTAATTTCCAAACCTGATCAAAACCCTTTCGTGACTCTGCATTACCCACAAGATAAAAGCCAAATCTCTATACCCTCAGGTTTTCCCTTCCCTCTCTGGGACTCTTCCTTTCCTTCCTCACAGTACTGAGCACCATACTGTCAGATTTTAGTGAGAGCATTGGCCGGGCAGAGCGGTTCACGCCTGTAATCCCAGCACTTTGGGAGGGAGAGGCAGGCAGATCATCTGAGGTTGGAAGTTCAAGACCAGCCTGGCCAACATAGTGAAATGGTGAAACCCATCTCTACTAAAAAATACAAAAATTAGCTGGGCGTGGTGGCCTGTAATCCCAGCTACTCAGGAGCCTGAGGCAGGAGAATCTCTCAAACCCGGGAGGCAGAGGTTGCAGTGAGCCAAGATCGCACCACTGCACTCCAGCCTGGGCAACAGAGTGAGACTGTGTCTCAAAAAAAAAAAAAAAGATTTTAGTGAGAACACAAACCGCCAGAGTCAATTATGAACCGTCTTTCCCATTAGACAGACCATCAGGCCAGCTCTGAATGTCCTGTATCCAGCCCAAGCCTAGCATGGAGGAAAAACGTAGGAAATAGTTGTTAATGATGATCCAATGCCTGCTGGCTAGAAGACACAGTAATGATACTGCTTGCTGTGACCAGAGTCTGAAAAGCGATTTTCAAACCTTGCCTCAAAGGCTGCATTAAAGTGAGAAACTTATCCATGCTGGCTCTTACCAACCTACTGCTTCCCACAGTAGCCTGGGTATGAAATGGCCTTGGACCATTCTGAACAGTAAATTATTATTCTTTGCATTTTAATAACTTTAGGGAAATATAACATTTTGACACAGTTAATGCTCACTCTATTGTTCCCTGCCCCACTAAGTATGTGACTCAGGAAGGCAAGTACCAGAAGTCCCAGGTAGGAACTCGTCCATAAAAAAAAAAAAAAAGGCTGGGTGTAGTGGCTCACGCCTGTAATCCCAGCACTTTGGGAGGCCGAGACAGGTGGATCATCTGAGGTCGGGAGTTCGAGACCAGCCTGGCCAACATGGAGAAACCCTGTCTCTACTAAAAATACAAAATTAGCCGGGTGTGGTAGCACATGCCTGTAATCCCAGCTACTCAGGAGGCTGAGGCAGGAGAATTGCTTGCACCCGGGAGGCGGAGGTTGCGGTGAGCTGAGATCATGCCATTGCACTCCAGCCTGGGCAACAAGAGTGAAGTTCCATCTCAAAAAAAAAATCCAGTACATCTGCCACCCAAAAATCAAACTTAGTTCTTCAAAATTACAAAACCCAGTGGGGCAAGTGGCTCATGTCTGTAATCCTAGCATGTTGGGAGGCTGAGGCAGGAGGATCGCTTGAGCCCAGGAGTTTGAGACCAGCCTGGGCAACACAGCGAGACCCCATATCTACAAAAAACATGAAAACTAACTGGGCATGGTGTCACGCACATGTAGTCCCTAGCTACTTGGGAGACTGAGGTAGGAGGATCACCTGAGCCCAGGAGGTTGAGGCTGCAGTGAGCTATGATTGCACCACTGCACTCCAGCCTAGGTGACACAGAGAGACCCTATCTCAAAAAGAAAAAAAAAAATTACAAAACCTGTTAGTTGAAAAGATATGATTCTTGGCAGGGCACAGTGGCTCATGCCTGTAATCCTAGCACTTTGGGAGGCCAAGGTGGGTGGATCAGCTGAGGTCAGGAGTTAGAGACCAGCCTGATCAACATGGTGAAACCCCATTTCTACTAAAAATACAAAAAATAGCCGGCTGTGGTGGCGCTCGCCTGTAGTCCCAGCTACTCAAGAGGCTGAGGCTGGGGAATCACTTGAACCTGGGAGGTGGAGGTTGCAGTGAGCTGAGATCACGTCACTGCACTCCAGCCTGGGTGACACCATCTCAAAAAAAAAAAAAAAAAAAAAAAGATATGATTCTTTAAAAAAATGGTTAAATAGTGAGAACGCTATTGTGCCAAAGAATGCCCATAGGTGATAAAAGAATAGTGAGGGGTGATGGTTTCTTCTGTTTCAAATTGCATTTTATGAGAACATACTAATTTTATAATAAAAAAACTTCAAACCTTGCATTTTTAAAAAGTCAATATGTTTTTTTTTTAAATTGTGGTAAAACATAAAATTTACCATGTTAACCTCTTTTTTTTTTTTTTTTTTTTTTTTTTTTGAGATGGAGTCTCACTCTGTTGCCTAGGCTGGAGTGAAGTGGTGCAATCTCAGCTCACTGCAACCTCCACCTCCCAGGTTCAAGTGATTCTCGTGCCTCAGCCTCCTGAGTCGTTGGGACTACAGGCGCATGCCACCACGCCCAGCTAATTTTTGTATCTTTAGTAGAGAGAGGGTTTCACCATGTAAGCCAGGCTGGGTTAACCATTTTTAAACATATAGTTCAGTAGTGTTAAGTATATTCACATTTGATGTGTAACAATCTCCATTATTTTTTCATCTTACAAATTTGAAACTCTTTACCTATTAAACAACCCATTTTGGCCAGGCATGGTGGCTCACACCTATAATCCCAGAACTTTGGGAGGCCGAGGCGGAAAGATCACTTGAGCTCAGGAGTTTAAGACCAGCCTGGGCAATATGGCAAAACCTCGTCTCTACAAAAAATACAAAAACTAGCTGGGCGTGGTGGTGTGTACCTGTAGTCCCAGCTACTTGGGAAGCTGAGGTGGAAGGATGACCTGAGCCCAGGAGTTAGAGGCTGCAGTGAGCTATGATAGTGCCACTGCACTCCAGCCTAGGCGACAGAGCAAGAGCCTATCTCAAAACAAAAACAAAAACAAAAAACTCATTTCCTCCTCACCCCAGCCCCTGGCAGCCACCATTTTACTTTCTGTTTCTGAGTTTATATACAACTCATACCCAAGTTTAGATGCCTCATATACAGCATGTCTTTTTGTGACTGGCTTATACAGCATGTCTTTTTGTGACTCTCTTAGCACGATGTCCTCAAGATTCAGCCATGTTTTGTGGCATGTGTCAGAATTTCCTTCCTTTTCAAGGCTGAATAATATTCCATTGCATGTACATCTCGCCTTTTGTGTATTCATTCATCTGCTGATGGGCATTTGGGTTCCTTCTACCCTTTGGTTACTATGAATAGTGCTGCTAAGAATATGGGTATAGATACCTCTTGGAGACCCTGCTTTCAATTCTTTTGGATATTAATAGTTTGGATACTTGTCCCCCAAATCTCACGTTGAAATTTAATCCCCAATGTTGGAGGTGGAGCTTGGTGGGAGGTGATTGGATCATGGGGAGGATTTCTCATGAATGGTTTAGGACCCTCCCCTTGGTGCTGTCCTCAGGAGATTTGTGTGTGGTATCTCCCCTTGCTCACTCTCTTGCTCCTGCTCTTGCCTTCTCACCATGTGATACACTGACTCCCCCTGTGCCTTCCACCATGACTGTAAGCTTCTGAGGCCTCACCAGAAGCCAATAGGATGCACAGCACCATGCTTCCTGAGCCAATTAAACTTTTCTTTATAAATTACCCAGTCTCAGGTATTTCTTTATAGCAATGCAAGAATGGCCTAACACAGATATGTACCCAGAAGTGGAATGGCTGGATCAAACGGCAATTCTGTTTTTCATTTTGGGGGAGCTGCACCAGTTCACAGGGTTCTAATTTCTCTGTATCCTTGACAACACTTACTTTGTTTTGGTGTTTAATAGTAGCCATCCTAATGGGATATGAGGCAATATCATTGTGGTTTTAATAGACTTTATATTTTAGAGCAATTTTAGGTTTACAGCAAAATTGAGAGGGTACAGAGATTTCCCATATAGTTGTTGTCCCCACACATGCATAGTCTCCACCATTTTCAACATCTCCCACCAAAGAGGTACATTTGCAGTAATTGATGAACCTACACTGACACATCATTATCACTCAAAGTCCACAGTTTACATTAGGGTTCACTCTTGGTGTTGTACATTTTAGGGGGTTGGACATATGTACAATGACAGGTATTTATAATTATAGTATCATACAGAGTAGTTTCGCTGCCCTAAAAATCTTCTGTGCTCCAATTATTCCTCCCTCCCCTCCCCCACCCACTGCTTTTTACTGTCTCCATAGTTTTGCCTTTTCCAGAATACATCCCAGTGTCATATAGTTGGCATCATTTAATATGAAGCCTTTTCAGACTGGCTTCATTTAGTAGCATTCATTTAAGTTCCTCTGTGACTTCTTATAGCTTGATAACTCATAATTTGTCATAGCTTGATTTAAGCACTGAATAATGACTACATGCACCACAATTTATTTACCCATTTACCTACTGAAAGACATTTTGGGTTGAGTTTTGGCAATTATAGATAAAGCTGCTATAAACATCCATGTGCTGGTTTTTGTGTGGACATGTTTTCAGTTCCTTCAGGTAAATACTAAAGAGCAAGATTGCTGGATCACATGGTAAGAGCTTACCTAGTTTTTGTAAGAAACTGCTTAACTGTCTTCCAAAGTGGCTGTGCCATCTTGCGTTCCCACCAGCAAGGAATAAGAGTTCTGGTTGCTCCAACTTTCCCAGCATTTCATGCTGTCGGTGCTTTGGATTTTGGCCATTCTAATAGTTGTATAGTGGTCTGTTGTTCTAACTTGCATTTTCCTGATGACATGTTATATGGAACATCTTTTCATATGCTTATTTGCCACCTGTCTATCTTCTTTGCTGAGATATGTTAAGGGTTTTGGCCTGTTTTTAATCAGGTTGTTTTCTTACTGTTGAATTTTAAGAGTTCATTGTGGTTTTTGATTTACATTTCCCTAATTAGTGATGTTGAACATATTTTCATGTTTTTTGACCTACAGTTTTGTGTGTGTGTGTGTGTGTGTTTTTTTGAGACAGAGTCTCACTCTGTTACCTGGCTGGAGTGCAATGGCATGGTCTTGGCTCACTGCAACCTCCACCTCCTGGGTTCAAGCGATTCTCCTGCCTCAGCCTCCTGAATAGCTGGGACAACAGGTGCCCACCACCACACCCAGATAATTTTTGTATTTTTAGTAGATACGAGGTTTCACTATGTTGGCCAGGCTGTTCTCGAAATCCTGACCTCGTGATCCGCCTGCCTCGGCCTCCCAAAGTGCTGGGATTGCAAGCGTGAGCCACTGCACCTGGCCTAGTTTTGTTTTTGTTTTTGAGACAGAGTCTTGCTGTGTTGCCCAGGCTGGAGTGCAGTGGCACAGTCTCAGTTTACTGCAACCTCTGCCTCCCAGGTTCAAGTGATTCTCCTGCCTCAGCCTCCGAAGTAGCTGGGATTACAGGTATGCATCACCACGCCCAGCTAATTTTTATATTTTTAGTAGAGAAAGGGGTTTCGTCATGTTGGCCAGGCTGATCTCGAACTCCTGACCTCAAGTGATCCACCTGCCTTGGCCTCCCAAAATGCTAGGATTACAGGCATGAGCCACCACGCCTGGCCTGACCTAGTTTAAGCACACCAAAAGCTACTTTACATTTTTAAAAAGTGAATTTGATGTCTTTTGAAATCTCCTCTGTGCACTTGGGGAAGTCCCTGTCCTCTATCAACTTGAGAGGCTGGCTGCTGTGCTCACAAGCCTTCATTTACACAGCAAGCCTTCCTTTCAGGACGGCTGCAAAACGGAAGCCTAAAACAGTAGATGGTGACAGAATGGTATTGTTACCAGCAGGGAAATGGCAAGCTCGCCCCCTGGTGACAAGCTGGGGAGACAACAGAAAAAGCAAATTTTTTTTTTTTTTTGAGACGGAGTCTCACTCTATCGCCCAGGCTGGAGGGCAGTGGCGCAATCTCAGCTCACTGCAAGCTCCGCCTCCCGGGTTCAAGCAATTCTCCTGCCTCAGCCTCCCCAGTAGCTGGGACTACAGGCGCCTGCCACCACGCCCGGCTAATTTTTTGTATTTTTTAGTAGAGATGGGGTTTCCCCGTGTTAGCCAGGATGGTCATGATCTCCTGATCTCGTGATCCACCCGCCTTGGCCACCCAAAGTGCTGGGGTTACAGGCGTGAGCCACCGTGCCCGGCCACAAATGTTCTTAAAAGGCACAACCACCACAAAGAACATACTCTCTACGGTACCTGGAATCTGGAAAGAACACTAATTAACACAAACCGTAGGTCACTCAAAATTGTTCATTCACAGGGACAGTTAAAAAGGCTCAGTTCCAGGGGACAAATGTGTCACAAAGTCCTTGCTTACAAACTCCTAGCTGAAGCTGCCTTGGGAAGAATCTGCTCCCTCAGCATGATGGGCAGTGCCAGGCGACTACACTGGAGGTGCTAATTTTTAACTGCCAATGTCTCTTCTAGACGATGGCAGGCTGATGTTTCATCTTCTTCAGCAACCCTGAAGCATAACAGCCTTTAAGCTGTATGTTGCACGTCCCTCTTGATCTCTGTGAATTTACTGAAAGATGTGACTCTAAAGGCAAAACGAAGCCCACACCAATGATTATGTAAGTCAGAGGGTGGTAGTTGTGACTATTTAACTGTTCTTAGTTCTTTAAGACCTCAATTACGTAAACCAAGATACGTTCTGATTTTCAAGCCATCCTAACCAAAATAATAATGATGAAAATGATGACAGCTGATTCCTTTAGGCCCCGGGGCTGCTAATTTTTCAAACTTCCTGCTATCCTCCCTTCCCTACTACCAATCTCCAGGGCTCTCTAGTTTGCTCCTATTTTTCACAGAGTTGCCAGAGTTTGAAAACTAAGACCCCCATAAACATGGCTATCTTCACAGAACATCCAGATGAAGGAATATTGACTGTAATAAACATTGTACAGAACACCCAGATAAAGGAATATTGACTGAAATAAACATTGTAGGCTATACTCCAGTAGCTGGGGCAATGGATCCATGTAAATGGAGCTACAAATTCAAGTCCCAAGTTTTTTTGCTCCAGCAGGTTGACCTTCAAGGGCTGCATCAGTCTTCAGAAACAGGAGCTGCCAGCCTCAAGCAGTTTGTTGCCTGGGAGGGAGGGTGGACCACATTACCCAAATGTTAAGGGTTGGACACCTTTCTGCTGTTCTTTGTGTAGCTGCTGGGCTCGATTTTTTAGCACCTCGGCCTTGGCCTCATCCTTATCAACACCATCCCCCAGCTTGTACATGCGACTGGCATTGGCACAGGCCCAGATATGACCCAGGTCACAGGCTTTCATGGAGTATTTACATGCCAGGTCCATGTCCTTGGGAAAGCCTGGGGCACCCTGCAGGAACATGGCACTGAGGTTGAAGCAACTGGAAGTATAGCCACCATCACAGGCCCTTGTGTAGTAGTCCCTGGCCTTTCCCAAGTCAGGCTGGCCATCCTCATTAACCTGTCCATCATGTGCCAGGAGGCCAACGTTGTGACATGCTGCTATTGACTTCTTTCCAGGCTTCTCACACGCCATCAAAAAGCACCTGGCGGCAGCTTTCAGGTCCTGGGTCAGACCACCTGAGAGGAAGGAAAGTAGGAAAAAATAAACCCAAGCCAGGGCACAACCTAAATGTCTCAGGCCAAAGTCAGTGAATTTTTTTTTTTTTTTTGGAGAAAGGGTCTTGCTTTGTTAACCAGGCTGGAGTGCACTGGCATGATCACGGCTCACTGCAGCCTCAACCTCCGGCTAAAGCAATCTTCCCATCTCAGCCTCCCCAAGTAGCTGGGACTACAGGCACACACCAACCACTATGCCTGGCTAATTTTTAAATTTTTTTGTAGAGAAAGGATCTCACTATGTTGCCAAGGCTAGTCTTAAACTCTGGGACTCAAGCGATCCTCCCACCTTGGCCTCCCAAAGTGCTGGAATTACAGGCGTGAGCCACCACACCTGGCCAACAACAATTCCTGAATAAAGTTTAAGGCTGAGCACAGTGGCTCACACCTGTAATCCTAGCACTTTGTGCAGGATGATTGCTTGAGGCCAGGAATTCGAGATCAACCTGGGTGACAGAGCAAGACTTTACCTCAAAAAGAAAAAAAAATGTCCATACTATGAGCTCAGGCAGCATGAAAGGTAGCCTGGCATAGTGCACAGACCTCCTAGCTTTCTCAGCCGTAGAATCTTTTATTCAGATGATACCTTATGAGGAAACTCAAACAGGTAAAGGAGGTGAAAATTGGGAATGATAATAATATCTACCTCATGGGGTTACAGTGAGAACATGGCATATGACAAGCACTTAATTGTTTATTAATTTAAACATACAGTGGGCCCTCCATATCCATGGGTTCAACCAACCACACATCAAAAATATTAGGGAAAAAATAACAATACAATTAAAAAATACAAAATATATAAAATAGAACAATTATTTACTCAGTATTTACATTGTATTAGATAGTCTAAGTCAAGATTGTCCAACCCATGGGCCTGGGATGGCTTTGAAAGCGGCTTAACACAAATTCATAAACTTTCTTAAAACATTATGAAATTATTATTATTATTATTTTTTTTTTTTTGAGATGGAGTCTTGCTGTGTCGCCCAGGCTGGAGTGCAGTGGCGTGATCTTGGCTCACTGCTACCTCTGCCTCCAGGGTTCAAGCGATTCTCCTGCCTCAGCCTCCCAAAATGCTGGGATTACAGGTGCATGCCACCACGCCAGGCTAATTTTTGTGTTTTCAGTAGAGACGGGGTTTCACCACGTTGGTCAGGCTAGTCTTGAACTCCTGACCTCATGATCCGCCCGCCTCAGCCTCCCAAAATGCTGGGATTACAGGCGTGAGCCACTTCACCTGGCCTATGAGATTTTTTTTGTGATTTTTTTTTTAAGCTCATCAGCTATCATTACTGTATTTTATATATGGCCCAAGACAACTCTTCTTCCAATGTGGTCCAGGAAAGCAAAAAGATTGAATACCCCTGTTCTAAGTAATTGATTTAAAATACACAGGAGGCCAGGCGTGGTGACTCACGCCTGTAATCCCAGCACTTTGGGAGGCCGAGGTGGGCGGATCACCTGAGATCAGGAGGCTCAAGACCAGCCTGGCCAACATGGTAAAACCCCATTTCTACAAAAATACAAAAATCAGGCTGGGCGCGGTGGCTTACGCCTGTAATCCCAGCACTTTGGGAGGCTGAGGCGGGTGGATCACGAGGTCAGGAGTTCGAGACCAGCCTGGCCAACATGGTGAAACCCCATCTCTACTAAAAATACAAAAAAAATGAGCTGGGCATGGTGGCAGGGGCCTGTAATGCCAGCCACTCAGGAAGCTGAGGCAGAAGAATGGCATGAACCCCAGAAGTGGAGCTTGCAGTGAGCAGAGATCGCGCCATTGCACTCCAGCCTAGATGACAGAGCATAACTCTGTCTCAAAAAAAAAAAAAGAAAAAAAAAAAAAAGATGATTTTAAGTGTAAAAAGAGCATGGAGGAAAAGTATAGTGCAAGGCAGGCAAGCAAGCAGGGACCAGATCATGCAGGGTCACATTAAGACCCCTGAATTTAATCTTAAAAACAATGGGAAATCACTAACAAATAATTTTAAGTAGAAGTGGTGGCAGGGCTCACTTTTTTTAGTTGTTTGTGTGTGTGCAAAACTTCAAATCTCCATGTACCATTACTCAATCTCAAAAAATATAAACATTTTAACATTATTCTTTTAAGTAACCATTCCAAATCCACCTAGAAATAACCATCATTATCATTAAGTGAACACCATTCCAGTCATCTTTGTAGCATGTGTTCAGATTAAATGCTGGCTGGTTGAATGGATACTAGATAGAAGTGTTTGGAAAAATTGGATCACAAATGCTACTTGTAAGTAAAAAATTTAACTTTGATTTTACTTGAATTTATCAGAAGAAAACCAAACTGAAGTGAAACTAAGGAAACTGCTGACCTACAAATTAATATTTCTAGCCCATAGTGACATTTCCTAAATGAGCCACTAGGGCTATCAAGAGTTTAGAAAAAATATTAAAAGGTTAGAATCATTTTTATTTTCATTTATTTACATTTATTTATTTATTTATTTATTTATTTAGAGACAGAGTCTTGCTCTGTGGCCGAGGCTGGAGTGCAGTGAAGCAATCTCGGCTCACTGCAGCCTCCACCTCCCGGGCTCAAGTGAGCCACTGCACCTGGCCTAAAATTTAGTTTAAAAAATTAAAATGGGGCCAGGCACGGTGGCTCACACCTGTAATCCCAGCATTTTGGGAGGCCAAGGCGGGTGGATCGTTTGAGGTTAGTTCAAGACCAGCCTGGCTAACATGGCGAAACCCCATCTCTACTAAAAATACAAAAATTAGCTGGGTGGTAGTGGCAAACGCCCCTGTAATCCCAGCTACTCGGAAGGTTGAGGCAGGAGAATCACTTGAGCCAGGGGGTTGTGGTGAGCCGAGATCATGCCACTGCACACCAGCCTGGGCGACAGAGTGGGACCCTGTCTCGGGACCCTGTCTCAAAAAAAAAAAGACATCCTTGGCCAGGTGCAGTGGCTCACACCTTACCCTAGCACTTTGAGAGGCCAAGGTGCAAGGATTGCTTGAGGCCAGGAGTTTGAGACCAGCCTGACAACATAGTGAGATCCTGTCTCTACAAAAAATAAAAAATTAGCTAAGCATGGGGGCACGTGCCTATAGTTCCAGCCACTGGGGAGGCTGAGGCAGGAGGATTGCCTGAGCCCAGGAGCTCAAGGCTGCAGTGAGTTATGATTTTATCACTGCACTCCAGTCTGAGAAACAGAACAAGATCCTGTCACAAAAAAAAAAAAAAGCTGCCTGTCAAAGGTCCTATTACTTATTTATGTGTGTGTGTGTTTTTTTTTTTTTTTTTGTGAGACAGAGTCTTGCTCTGTTGCCCAGGCTGGAGTGCAGTGGCGCGATCTCAGCTCACTGCAACCTCTGCCTCCAGGGTTCAAGTGATTCTCCTGCCTCAGCCTCCTGAGTAGCTGGGATTACAGGTGCGCGCCACCACGCCCAGCTAATTTTTTTTTGTATTTTTAGTAGAGATGGGGTTTCACCATGTTGGTCAGGCTGGTCTTGAACTCCTGACCTCATGATCCACCCGCCTTGGCCTCCCAAAGTGCTGGGATTACAGGCATGAGCCACCGTGCCTGGCCTGTGGTGGTTTTAAATATGTCCATAAGTTCTTTAATATTCCTTCCTCTTCAAGAAGTGGAATTTAAGTCCTTCCCCTTAGTGTAGGCTACATCTAATAAATATGTGATAGAAATGAAAAGTGTGTGACTTCCAAAGATAGGTCATAGAAGACACTGTGGATTCTATCTTGTTGTCTCCTTTAAATTACTCACTCTGGGGGAACCCAGACGCCATGTCATGAGGACACTCAAGCAGCCCATGGAGCGAACCATGTCATGACGATCTGAGCTCTCCCAATAACAGCTGGTAAGGAACTAGAGGCCTCTGCTACCAGCCATCAGAGTGAGTCATCTTAGAATTGGAAACTCCAACTTCAGTCAAGCCTTCCAATGTCTCCAGCCCTGGCTCCCTGGCCAATGTCTTGACTATAACCTCATGAGATACCCTGAGGTACCCCCACTAAACCACTCCCAAATTCTTGACCCACAGAAACTATTGAGGTGAACAAAAATAACTATTTTGTTATTTAGCCATAGATAATGTAAACACTATGCCAGTGATAACTACAATTAGAGTACAAGGAGAAAAGACAGAAGGAAGACAATAATTACTGACCCCTTACTCTGTGCCAAGCACATGCTGATGCCTTTTCCTATGCTGTCCTACTTAATCCTCACCACCCTACAAAGCAAGTACTATTTCCCTCCAATTTACAGGTGATGTAACTGAGGCACAGAGTCGAAGTGATTGGCTCAAGGTCCCACTACTTGCCAATAGCATTCCCTAAGGTTTACCTAACTTGAAAGGCTGTGTTCTTCCCCCCATCACTCTGCTGAACTCCTACCTCTCCATCTTCCTACAATGCACTTTCCCAATGCCTGCGAGACCCTTCTGCAAGAGCTTATCATGGGGCTCAGGTGTGAGGCCAGCACTGCTATCAATGACAAGGACCCAAAAGGCAGGCCCTCCTTACCTTTTCCAGTCACATAGTAGGCCCCCAGTTTGTAGCAGCTATCACTGTGCTGGTTCTCTTCACAGTTAAACTTCAACACCTTGGCAGCCTCATCAAAATTCTTCCGGATCCCTTCCAAATAGTCCACCAGCCGATAGCAACCTGCGAGAAGAGGGCAAGGGTTGTTCTTCATGTCTGGGGCTGCTGCTCGCAGTGGGGACTTGGGGGTAGGGGGTGCCCAGGTGTGGCAGGCCAGGTGATGTCTTTTAAGACAGCCCCTGTCCTCCTGATGTGTGGCAAGTTGGCCTTACCACAAAGAATGTAGGTGGTGTTTAGCCATTCCTACAAATGGCATTGTCTCCCCACAGCCATGGACTGAGCAATGCATGGCTTGGGGAGACCTCAGCCCCTGCATTGGCTCTACCACTCACCAGCCCTTCTGCTCCCTGTCAGCCACGCCCAAGTATCCACTGACTTCCATGATTGAAACTTTGCTAGTTTTGGAATCTCTCATGAAGTTAAATGGTAAAAACAGTGAAAACCTAAAAGGCTCATAGGCTAGTCTTTGTAGCAGCAAGAAAAGGGTGCTGGGCCAGGCTCGGTAGCTCATGCCTGTAATCCCAGCACTTGGGGAGGCTGAGGCAGGAGGATCACTTGAGGTCTGGAGTTCGAGACCAGCCTGGACAGGGTAAAACCCTGTCTCTACTAAAAATGCAAAAAAATTAGCCAGGAGTGGAAAAATATAAAAAAATTAGCCAGGTGTGGTGGCGCACACCTGTAATCCCAGCTACCTGGGAGGCTAAGGCAGGAGAATCGCTTGAACCCAGGGGGCGGAGGTTGCGGCGGGCCGAGATCACGCCACTGCACTCCAGCCTGGGTGACAGAACGAGACTCTGTCTTAAAAAAAAAAAAAAAAAGAAAGAAAGAAAAAGAAAAGGGTGCTGTAATGACTATAGCTTACTCCTCAGCCAGGGTAGGAACATGAAAGCCAAAGAGAAAGAGTAGAGGCGGCAGCTTCTAATGAAAATAGGCTCTACTTCCTTGGCAGTCTCCCAGTCCCAGTAAACCTCTTTCCTTAATCTCTCTCCCCTCTTCTTTACCCCCAGTGACAACATATATCTCTCATTCATTTTCGTTCAACAAATATTTGAGCATCTCTATGCATCTATGTACCAGACATGGTTCTAGATGCTGAGAATATACTCATTTGCCCTCCTAAAATTTACATTCTAGGGGAGGAAATACAATAAATAAATAAATGAACAAAATTTATTCAAACAGTAATAAATGTTATAACAACTCAGAAACAGGAAGTGAAATACTGCATGTCCTCACTTATAAGTGGGAGCTAAATACTGTGTACACATGGACACAGGGAGTGTGGAATAATAGACACTGGAGATTGGGAAGGGTGGGAGGATGGTGAGGAATAAAAAATTACCTAACAGGTACAAGTGCATTATTTGGGTGATGGTTGGTTACATTAAAAGCCCAGACTTCCCCAGCAATTTGGGAGGCCGAGGCAGGCAGATCACCTGAGGTCGGGAGTTCTAGACCAGCCTGACCAACATTGAGAAACCTCGTCTCTACTAAAAATACGAAAATATTAGCCGGGCATGGTGGCGCATGCCTATAATCCCAGCTACTCGGGAGGCTGAGGCAGAGAATCACTTCAACTCGGGAGGCGGAGACTGCGGTGAGCCGAGATAGCGCCATTGCGCTCCAGCCTGGGCAACAAGAGCAAAACTCCATCTCGAAAAAAAAAAAAAAAAAAAAGCCCAGACTTCACAACCAGGCAATATATCCATGTAACAAAACTGCACTTGTACCCCTTAAATTTATACAAATAAATACATAAATGCTATGACTGAAGTAAAACAGGATAACTGTTTGCTGTCAACTTTGGGTGAATGGCTAACAAAGACTGAGCCACTGGGGAGGGGCTCACCAAGGACTGTGACCTCAATAACAAGAAAGCACTAGCTATTTAAAGACAATGAAATGGGAGTGGGGCAGGGATTTGGAAAAAATTTAAAAATAAAAAATAAAAAATGAAATTAAAAGACAATAAAATGGGCAGGGGCACAAAGTCCTGGCACAAGGAACAGTAAATACAAAGACCTGAAAGAATAAGTTTGGCACGAATAAGGTACAACATGGCTGAACCAAGGAGGAGGGTCAGGAAATGAAGAAGGAAGGTAGGGACCAGACCATAGGCCTCGTGAAACATAGGATGGAGTTATGATTTTTTCCAACTGAAACAGTAAACCACTGGAGGGTTTCAAGAAAATAAGTAATATGATTCAGGCCAGGTGTGGTGGCTCATGCCTGTAATCCCAGCACTTTGGGAGGCCAAGGCGGGTAGATCACTCGAGGTCAGGAGTTCTAGACCAGCCTGGCTAACATGGTGAAATCCCGTCTCTACTAAAAATACAAAAATTAGCCAGGCTTGGTGGCGCACGCTTGTAATTCCAGCTACTTGGGAGGCTGAGGCAGGAGAATCACTTGAACCCGGGAGGCAGAGGTTGCAGTGAGCTGATATCGTGCCACTGTACTCAAGCCTGGGCAACAGAGCAAGACTCAGCCTCAGGGAAAAAAAAAAAAAAAAAAAAAGCCAGGCGTGGTGGAACACGCCTGTAATCCCAGCTACCTGGGAGGCTGGGGCAGGAGAAGTACTTGAACCTGGGAGGCAGAGGTTGCAGTGAGCTGAGATTGCACCACTGCACTCCAGCCTGGGCGACAGAGTAATACCCTGTCTCAGAAAACAAACAACCAAAAAGCCACCAAAACCAAACAAACAACCCCACCCCCCAACAAAAACGTTACTCTGGTATATATGTTCATATATGCCTGAGTATGGAGGAATTTAATTATGTGAGGGTATATAATTGGGCATTGATAACAAATAGGTTATTTTAAAATCTAATATTTAACATAACAAAATTGAAATTAAAATATCAGTTTATCTGCGAGTAGAAATGGATTTTAAGGGAGTAAAGTGCAAAGAGAGGGACAGGTTAGAAGGCGACTTCAGTTATCCAGGTAAGAAAGTGGGACATGCAAGGAACTACTACACCAGTCGCTACGGTAACTATAGCCTCTTCTCAGGTCTCGTAAAGTGCTGCAGCCAGTCCTTTTGATATATCCACCCTTCCCAATTCCAAGAACTTGCTTCTCAGACATGTTTTGCTCTCCATTGCCTACAGAGCAAAGTCTATATTCCTTACCCTGGCATTCAAGCCCTGACATACTGTGGGCCAGACTCCCGCTTCAAACGTACTAAATCCTGACTTCAACCTTCCAAAAGATAGCACTTTCTTCTCCCACCCTCTCCTCCATTTAATCAACACTTGCCCAGCCCTCCAGACCTCCCCTCAAAGTCTTCCCTAACCACCCTGTTCCTTAGTGACCCCAATTCCTCTAAGTTCTTTCTATACTTAGGACATGGACCAGCTCTCAAAGAACAACCCCAGGTTCTTTTTTTTGAGACGTTGTTTCACTCTTGTTGCCCAGGCTGGAGTGTGATGGCGCGATCTCAGCTCACTGCAACCTCCGCCTCCCAGGTTCAAGCCATTCTCCTGTCTCAGCCTCCCGAGTAGCTGGGATTACAGGCGCATGCCACCACGTCCGGCTAATTTTTGTATTTTTAGTAGAGACAGTTTAATCATATTGGTCAGGCTGGTCTTGAACTCCTGTCCTCAGGTGATCTGCCCACCTCAGCCTCCCAAAGTGCTGGGATTACAGGCGTGAGCCACTGTGCCCGGCCCAACCCCAGGTTCTTTTCAAGCCATCATACTGCAGAGCAACTCTGTGTCATGACTATGTTATGATATGTATATGGTTGTGTTATGGTCTATGTTACGGATTAGCCTCAAGGAATAGCTATGTCATTTCTGCAAACTAAACTGACTAAACTGCAAGCTATTAGAAGGTAGGGCCAGTGCCACTTTTTTTCTTTTCTTTTTTTTTTTAGTAGTGACAGGGTTTCATCATATTGCCCAGGCTGGTCTTGAACTCCTGGCCTCAAGTGATCCTCCCACCTCACCTCAGCCTCCCAAAGAGCTAGGATTACAGGCTTGTGCCACCACACCAGTCCTTTATTTGAAAGAAAAAAAAAAAAAAGGCTGGGCACGGTGGCTCACACCTGTAATCCCAGCACTTTGGGAGGCCAAGGCAGATGGATTGCTTGAGGTCAGGAGTTCGAGACCAGCCTGGCCAACATGGTGAAACCCTGTCTCTACGAAAATACAAAAATTAGCCAGGCCTGGTGGTGGGTGCCTGTAATCCCAGCTACTCGGGAGGCTGAGGCAGGAGAATTGCTTTAACCCAGGAGGCAAAGGTTGCAGTGAGCTGAGATCGAGCCATTGTACTCCAGCCTGGGTGACAGAGTGAGACTCAGTCTCAAAAAAACAAAAAAATTAAAAAGTAGGCAGTGTGCAGTGGTTCATGCCTGTAATCAAAGGCGGGAGGATCACTTGAGCCCAGGAGTTGCGACCAGCCTGGACAACGTAGTGACATACTATCTCAAAAAAGAAAGAAAATACAAAAAATAAAAATAAAGCAAGAAGAAGAAAACCACCCAAAGGTATTAGCTGCTCTGGGTGGACCCCTCTGGTCACCACCATCCACCTATACTCTTAAGTCAATTCAATGTTCACACAACACACAGGACACATTTGTGATTCAGGGCGTCTTCGCCAGCTGTTACCTATGGTAAGAACTGCATGGTTCACTCCCTTACCTTCTTCAAGGCTTTATTCAATTGCCACTTTCTCAGTGATCTTCCCTGATCACTCAATTTAAAACTGCCCTCCTGCCCTCCTGACACCCTTCACCCAGTCTTTTTTCCACGGCACTTACTACTTTCTTTTTATTTATTTTTTTTGAGACGGAGTCTCGCTCTGTCGCCCAGGCTGGAGTGCAGTGGCGCGATCTCTGCTCACTGCAAGCTCCGCCTCCCGGGTTCACACCACTCTCCTGCCTCAGCCTCCCGAGTAGCTGGGAATACAGGCGCCTGCCACCACGCCCGGCTAATTTTTTGTATTTTTAGTAGAGACAGGGTTTCACCGTGTTAGCCAGGATGGTTTCGATCTCCTGACCTCGTGATCCACCCGCCTCAGCCTCCCAAAGTGCTGGGATTATAGGCGTGAGCCACGGCTCCCGGCCGGTACTTACTACTTTCGAACACGATTTCATGAATTACCTGAGGCTTATTGCCCGACTCCCCGCACTAGCTTGGAAGCTCCACGAGGGCAGGGAGTTTCATCTGTTCACCGATGGATCCCCAGTCCCTAACCCAAAAGCCCCAGCACGTCTCTTCCTACCCGCCCCGGCCTCCTGGCTCGGTCTTCCCGGGACACATCGCCCTTCCCAACACACGCGGTCACCGCGATCCACAGACCCCGTCCCCCGCCCGCCACGTGATTCCTTCTCCAGCCTCTCAGAGGTCGCAGACCAGACCTCTCCGGGCACGTCCCTCCCCGACGCGTCGCCGGGCTGCGCTGGAGCCGCTCACCGTCCGGGTCCTTCTCGTGGTAGCAGTGGTAGTTGCACTCCACCTCCATGTTCTCCAAAAAGGACTTGACCTGCTCCTCATCCTGGAAGTCCACCATGCCGGCCATGGTTCGCGCCGGCCCAAAGACGGTCACGTGAGCCGGCGGAGGGGGCGGGGCGGGGCGTGGGGCTGACGCCGACGCCAACCGCGGCGCTCTCCCGGGATCCCGGGGCGAGCCAAGCGAGCCTGTGCTTCCCAGCAGCCATCGCGCCGTTAAGGGCGCTGGCAGCCACGCTTCCAGGGCTACCGCCTTCCTGAAACTGGGGGCTGTCTCTCTGCAGCACCTTACCTATGCTCGCTTTGTAGCCTTAGTGATTTTCCACCTGCAGTCATTTATCTATGTATAATCCCTAAGCGCCTACTGTGTGCCTCACCAGTGCATTGTTCTAGGGATATGACAGCTAGGAATATGGTCCCTGCCTTCAAAGAACTTGGAGTTCAATAGGAAGACATTCGCTTATCCATTCAGCAAGCATTTAGAGGAGCTTCTATATGTGCCAGGTGTAGCTGGACAAAGTGCAGTGAGCAGTCTGATTCATCTGTCTTCTTCCCAGACCTGTCTTGGCCACCAACATGAATTACCTAAGCAATGAATGGCTATGGGAGATGTTGACTGGCACACAGTAGCAGTGAAGGGTGTAGCAACGTCACTGTTATAACACCTAGTACTCAAACAGTGCTGAACTTTGTTCCAGGCTCTAAATGCTTTATATGAATTAACTCATTTAATTCTCATTATATATCATGTCACTGTAAAAACACTCACAGTGACACTGTGGGTAGGTATTATTATTATCCCCATTCTACAGATAAGAAAACTAAAGTACAGAGAAATTAAGTAGTTTGTCCAAGGTCACACAGTAAGTGAGGGAGTTGGTATGCAATAATAATTTTTTTTAAAAAAATAAAAGAATGAATGAGGCCGGGCGCGGTGGTTCACGCCTGTAATCCCAGCACTTTGGGAGGCCGAGGTGGGTGGATCACCTGAGGTCAAGAGTTCGAGACCAGCCTGGCCAACCTGGTGAAACTCTGTCTCTACTAACAATACAAAATTAGCAGGGGTCTCTACTAAAAATACAAAATTACAGGGAGCACACCTGTAATCCTAGCTCTTTGGGAGGCTCAGGCAGGAGAATTGCTTTAACCTGGGAGGTGGAGGTTGCAGTGAGCCGAAATTGTGCCATTGCATTCCAGCCTGGGCGACAAGAGCGAAAAAGAATGAATGAGGTAGAAAAGGAACATGTCAAGGAGATGGGGAGGAGGAGAGGAAATTTACCTACATTTTGCTTTGTTTTCCTGCTCCTGTTCCTGCTAAGAATCATCAGTTCCATAAAGCTTAGATGGAAAGTTCTCCTAAGACAGCCACTTCCTATTCGTCTTTTTTTTTTTTTTTTTTGAGACGGAGTTTCGTTCTTGTTGCCCAGGCTGAAGTGCAATAGCGCGGTCTCAGCTTACTGCAACCTCCGCCTCCCAGGTTCAAGCGATTCTCTTGCCTCAGCCTCCCGAGTAGCTGGGCTTACAGGTGCCCACCACCACGCCCGGCTAATTTTTTTTGTATTTTTAGTAGAGACAGGGTTTCACTATATTGGCCAGGCTGGTCTTGAACTCCTGACCTCAGGTGGTCCGCTGGCCTCGGCCTCCCAAAGTGCTGGGATTACAGGCGTGAGCCACCACACCCGGCTGACTTCCCATTCATCTTTGAATTCCATCCAGCCCTACTTTTGAATTCTCAATGGAGCTAAATCCATGGCTTCCCATCGCCTATAACAATGCTTTCCAAATGGCTCCATTATTAAGCTATCCCCAATGGCAGCAAAGAATGGACTATTTCCAACCACTTATTTATTGGAAGGCAGCCAATAATGTCTGAAATCCCAGTTTTATTTTTTAAATTCATAGGATTTTACATTCATTTCCCCATAATACATCTTTCATAGGATAACAGAAGATTGCCTTTTCTCCCCCAAGCCTTTGAGTAAAATTGACATTCCAGGCAATATACCACATTTACCTGTGGTTTCTTATACCCTGATCACCTTAGGGGACTCCTCAGTACACATGGCCCAGGATGGGAATCCTTGAACTTTGGTTTGAGGTCATCTTCTTTAGGATGGCCTTCAAGACCCTGTGCAATCTGATTCTAGCCTTATTTTCTGCCTCTCTTCCCCCACATCCCACCAACCTTCTGTTCTCTGAATAGATCCCAAGTTTGTGTCCCTGTTTACCTCTGCTCTTGATGCCTGGACCACCCTTTTTGACACAAATCGGAAATACTCTCCTATGTAAAGTCTTCCCAGACACAACAATTACACACATTCAAATTAGATTTAGATGCTCCCATTTTGGTGTTCCACACCACTTGGTTTATTCTGGTATAGTGTAGTAGGAAAGAAAGAACTGGCTTTGGAGTGGGGACAGATCTTAGTTCAGAATCCATGTTCCATGTTTATTAAATTGTAACCTTAAACCAATCATGTTTGTGAGTCTGAATCCTCTTCTGTAAATGCAGATCCATTTGTAATGGCTGTCAGAAGGACTACAAGTTCATGTATGCAATGTGCTTGGCAGAGCGCCTGGCTCAAAGTCATTCCTGTTCCAGGAATGTTTCTTGTCATGCCAATAATGGCATGAAAGTCTGTGTTCCCCACCAGACTGTGACCTCTGTGTCCTGTATGCTGGTCACAGGGCCAAGAATAGAATAGGGCTTGATGATAGAATAGAGCAGGGTGATGTCGATTACTAAAATCTGGGAATGTTTCCCTTTATTTTCTGAGTTGAACTGCATTGAAATGAGATCACCTGAGCGGTAGAGGGCACAAGAGAGTTAGTTGGTGATGAGAGGCTCAACCAAGTAAGAGGTCACTTTTTTTTGTTTTGCTCTTTCATCCAGGCTAGAGTGCAGTGGCGTGATTTTGGCTCACCGCAACCTCCGCCTTACGGTTTCAAGCAATTCTCCTGCCTCAGCCTCCTGAATAGCTGGGATTACAGGCGCCCACCACAATGCCCGCCTAATTTTTGTATTTTTAGTAGAGATGGGGTTTCACCATATCGGCCAGGCTGGTCTCGAACTCCTGACCTCGTGATCCGTTTGAACTAACTGTTGCCTCTGCCCTAGAGTGCTTTTCCCCTGTATTTTTTTTTTTTTTTTGGCTTGCCTTCTTAAGTTCTCTGCTTCAATTTGACATCGTCCATGTGGTCTTAGCTCATTCTTGTTATAATAACAGTGTCTTGATTGTGCCCAGCAATATTAGGTGCCCAAGTATTGTTGACTGAATTAAGAAGAGGGATTATCATTCCAAATAATTTGGTTTTCATTAATGGAACTTAGAATATCACTGACTCTTGCTCTTTTGACCCAGGTTTTTCTTAAAGCTATAAGAAACATTAAATGAAGGTCTAATTGACATACAGGAAACTGCACATAACTTTAAAGTAACAATTATGAGTTTCTACATATGTATACACCTGTAAACCATTATCACAATCAAGATAATGAGCATATTCATCACCTCAAAATTTCCTCATGTGACTTTGTACTTCATTCCCTCCCCAGCAACCATTAATCTGCTTTCTGTCACTGAAGATGGGTTGCATTTTGTAGGATATTATCTAAATAGAATGATACAGTAAGTACTGTTTCTTTTTGTATAGTTTCTTCGATTCAGCATAATTATTTTGAGATTCATCCATGTTACCACACGTATTAATAGTTCATTCTTTTTCTTAGTGAATGACATTTCATGATGTAGATATATCACAATTTGTTTATCCATTTGGGTTTCCAGTTTTTGGCTTACAAATAAAGCTGCTGTGAATATTTGTGTACGTGTCTTTGTATGGGCATTCATTTCCATTTTTGGGGTTCATACCTAGGAGTGGAATGGCTAGATCATATGGTAGGTATATATCTAACTTTAAGAAACACCCAAACTGTTTTCTAAAGTGATTCTACCATTACATTCTTACCAGCAGTGTTTGACAGTTCTAGTTGCCCTACATCCTCACCATAATTTGATGTGTGGTCAGTCTTTTAAAATTTTAGCCATTATAGTGAATATAACAGTATCTTATCATAGGTTTAGTTTGTATTTTTTTGAGTGACCAATAATGTTGGCATCTTTTCATGTGCTTATCTGCCATCTGTGTATCTTTGATGACATGTTTGTTAAAATCTTTCGCCCCCTTTTTATTGGATTGTTTTTTATTATTGCATTCTAAGAGTTATTTATATATTCAAGTCCGTTATCAGAAGTTTTGCATATATTTTCTCCCAGTTTGGCCTGCCTTTTTTGTTTTTATAACAGTGTCTTTCAAAACCAAAAGTTTTTCATTTTAATGGTGTGTCTAGTTTATTGATTTTTTTCCTCTTGTTAATAGTTTGTGCTTTTTCTTTCGTATTCAAGAAGTCTTTGCCAAACCCAAAGTCACTAAGATTTTATCCTATATTTTCTTGTAGAAATTTTATGGTTTAAATCTTATATTTAGAAAGCCTATGATCCATTTCAGATTAATTTTTGTATGAGGTATGAGATAACAGTTGAGGTTCACTTTATTGCATGTGGGTTTATAATTACTCTAGCACCATTTGTTAGAAAGATTATCCATTCTCGGCCTCCCAACGCGTTGGGATTACAGGCGTGAGCCACCGCTCCAGGCCTCGGGATAGGTCTTAATACCTCCTTTTTATAAAGGAGGTCCAGATAAGTAAAGTGATTTCCACCAGGTCACACAGCCCGCTAAACCTCTCCCAAAGGGTTACACGTTGGTAAAGGAGCCGCCCCGTGAGAGAGACCGGACCAATCACGTTTGCTGTGAGGTCACTTTGGAGGCCTGAGATTGGTGCTCGTGTCTAAACGGACCCGATCTTTCTGAGTGGCTGGTGCAGCTGAGGGAGGTTCCAGGTGGCTTGCTCGGGGGCTGCCCAGCTCGCCGTCCTCTGCAGATCCCCTCGGGACTCTCAGCATTTTGTGGGTTAGCCGTGGAGACGCCCTGCCCTTCCTGCTTTGGCCAGTCAACCCCCTCAAGCCCGTGCCCGTAGAGCCTGCAGCCCTTCCTCACCTCATCACTCCCCATCCCCCCAAGATATAGAAAGGCCGTGACAGCTGCCAGCCCTGCACATGCTCTTGTTTCAACAGCGGCGATTGCACATCACGTAGTCCCCACGTGACCTGTCGGGCCTAGGGCAAGCGCAAAGCTTTCGGAAACCCGAATTATTGCAACCTTGACTTCCTGCCTGTCTCTGAGGCTCCCGGGCTGTGCTTTAAGCTGGACAGGCACCTGCTTTACAGGGAAAAGGACCAAGGTCCGGAGAGGAAAGGGGCTTGTCCCAGGATACGCAGCAAGTTAGTGACAGCGTCATACTCTTCCCTCTGGGCAGGCACCTGTAGTCCCAGCTACTTGCGAGGCTGAGGCAGGAGAATTGCTTGACCCCAAGAGGCAGAGGTTGCAGTAAGAAGAGATCACACCACTGCACTCCAGCCTGGGTGACAGAGTGAGATTCTCTCTCAAAAAAAAGGGCCAGGAGGCCGGTGTGGTAGCTCACACCTATAATCCCAGCACTTTGGGAAGCTGAGGTGGATAGATCACCTGAGGTCAGGAGTTCGAGACCAGCCTGGCCAACATGGTGAAACCCTGTCTCTACCAAAAATACAAAAATTAGCTGGGCATGGTGGCGGGTGCATGTAATCCCAGCTACGTGAGAGGCTGAGGCAGGAGAATCACTTGAACTGGGGAGGCAGAGGTTGCAGTGAGTTGAGATCGTGCCATTGTACTCCAGCCTGGGCAACAAGAATGAAACTCCATCTCAAAAAAGACAAAGAATAAAATTAAATTAAATTTTAAAAAGGCCGGGCATAATGGCTCATGCCTGTAATCCCAGCACTTTGGGAGGCCGAGGCAGGTGGATCATGAGGTCAGGAGTTAAAGATCAGCCTGGCCAAGATGGTGAAACCCCGTCTCTACTAAAAATACAAAAAAATTTGCTGGGCGTGGTGGCATGTGCCTGTAATCCCAGCTACTTGGGAGGCTGAGGCAGAGAATCACTTGAAACCGGGAGGCAGAGGTTGCAGTGAGCCAAGATCGTGCCACTGCACTCCAGCCTGGGCGACAGAGTGAGACTCCATCTCAAAAAATAAAAAATAAAAATAAAAAAAGACATTTGCTGGAAATAAGCACTGGAATAGAGGTTTCAATACTAATTACTGTTCTGCCACTTCCATAGTGTTTGTTCAGCTTTGGCTAAATCCATTCTCTTTTATTCTCTTTTTATATCCTCAGTCTTCTCATCTGTAAAATGGGACTCCCAATCTCTACCCCACCTTGATGCTGGGAAAAGACAAACCAACCTCAATACCGAAGTTTAAAGGGTGTTTTACATAACCATGAAAATGTTGTCTTGGCCAGGTGCTGTGGCTCATGCCTGTAATTTCAGCACTTTGGGAGGACAAGGTGAGAGGATCCCTTGAGCCTAGGAGTTTAAGACCAGCCTGGGTAACATAAAGAGACCCCGTCTCTACAAAAAATAAAAACATTAGCCAGGTGTGGCAGCATGTGCTTGTAGTCTTAGCTACTTGGGAGGCTGAGGCGGAAGGACTGATTGTGCCCAGGAATTTGAGACTTCAGTGAGCCATGATTTTGCCACTGCACTCCAGGTGGGATGACAGAGTGAGACCCTGTCTCAGAAAAAAAAAAAATTACCTCTCAAGAAGAACTGCTGAAAGCAGTGAAGGAAATAAGGTTTGTATATCTCTTTGCAAACCTTAAAACACTGTAAAAATTAGGTAGCACACTATTTCTAATGAGATAACTTTTTTTCGGGGGGGGGGGGGGGGCGGAGTTTTGCTCTTGTTGCCCAGGCTGGAGTGCAATGGCGCGATCTTGACACACTGCAACCTCTGCCTCCTGGGTTCAAGTGATTCTCCTGCCTCAGCCTCCTGAGTAGCTGGGATTACAGGCATGCGCCACCACACCGGCTAATTTTGTATTTTTAGTAGAGACAGGGTTTCTCTATGTTGGTCAGGCTGGTCTCAAACTCCTGACCTCAGGTGATCCACCCGCCTTGGCCTCCCAAAGTGCTGAGATTGCAGGTGTGAGCCTCCGCGCCTGGCCCTAATGAGATAACTTATAGAACATTGTATGACTTACAAAGGCTGGACCTCAGACTACACTTTGAGTACCCAAGAACTAAATCCTTGCTACTCAAAGTGTGGCTTGAGGAACAGCAGCATCCATATCATTTGAGATCCTAGTAGACATGGAGAACCTTGGGACCCCCACCACACCTACTGAACCAAAATATGCATTTTAAAAGTTATTATTATTTTCTTGAGATGGAGTTTTGCTCTTCTCACCTAGGCTGGAGTGCAATGGCACAATCTTGGCTTACTGCAACCTCCGCCTCCCAGGTTCAAGTGATTCTCCTGCCTCAGCCTCCTGAGTAGCTGGGATTACAGGCATGTGCCACCACGCCCAGCTAATTTTTGTATTTTTAGTAGGGACAGAGTTTCACCATGTTGGCCAGGGTGGTCTCAAACTCCTGATCTCAGGTGATCCACTTGCCTTGGGCTCCCAAACTGCTGGGATTACAGGTATAAGCCACCGCACCCGGCCTAAAATTATTATTATTTTTAGAGACTGGGGTCTCATTATGTTGCCCAGGCTGGGCTCAAGCAATCCTCCCACCTCAGCTTCCCAAATAGCTGGGACTACAGGTGTGAGCCACACTGCCTGGCCAGAATATGCATTTTACTGAGATCCCCAGGTGACACAGATACACAATAAACTTTAAGAAGCAATGCTGTAAATCACAGGATACATGCACTGGAATGATTTTGAAAATAATCTTCAACTCCCTCATTTTACAGGTGAGCGCACTGAGCCCAGGAATGAAAGGGACTTGTCTTTCTAAAAGAGCTGTGTCACCCCCATTTGGAAACCAAAGGCTCCACAATGCCCGCATCCTTAGCTCAGCATTCCAGGCCCTCCCATCTGGCCCCCGCCAACCACTCCACTTGCTACTTCCCCACCTATACTAGACAAACCAATCCCTCTGACCCACTCCTCTTCTCTGAACTCCTCAGGCTGTTTTGTCTGTGTGGGCTGCTCTTTCCACGTCTCTCCAGTGTCAGTTCAAACTATGTTGCCCGACCACCAGTCCTTGTCTAGGATGCCTTCCTAACCCCTACTGGTTGACAGTGGGCTGTGGTTAGCCAGCTGAGGGCTCCTCCACTTCCTGAAGCACTGTGGTCATCGCCTGTTTTACCAGACTGGGAGCACCTTAAGGATAGGAACCAAATATGATTTCTTTATTTGCCTTCCAGGTCCCAACACAGAGTGAAGCACTTTGTAAGTGCTCCGTTTATGCTATGTGGTTAATAACTTATAACAATGCCTCCAGATCTAATTTTTTTTTTCTTTTTTTTTGAGATGGAGTCTCATTCTGGCCCCCAGCCTGGAGTGCAGTGGCGCGATCTCGGCTCACTGCAACCTCCACCTCCTGGGTTCAAGCAGTTCTCTACCTCAGCCTCCTGAGTAGCTGGGATTACAGACACCCACCACCACGCCCGGCTAATTTTTTTGTATTTTTTTTTAGTAGAGAGGGGGGTTTCACCATCTTGGCCAGGCTGGTCTTGAACTCCTGACCTCACGATCCACCTGCATCAGCCTCCCAAAGTGCTGGGATTACAGGCATGAGCCCCCGCGCCCGGCCAACTTTCTGCTTTTAAGACTATGAAATCCCAAAGAGTAGGGACCTGATATTCTCTGCCTGCTCCATCTCATTCATGAGACTCACGTGCCAGAGCACAACGGGCATGTGTTCACCACCTAAGCTGGCTGGCTCGGCTTCTGATTATAGCCATTCCCATAATGTGTGTGTGGACCCAGCTCACTGCAGCATGCTCATGGAAATCCAAATGAGGAAGAAGGGTTGCAACACCAAGGACAAGGAAGGGATCAGGTTTTAGGACAAATCATCTCAAGTCAGGGGTGAGATTTACTGCCTTCTAAAAAAAGCTCACAAGATTTCAGGCTGTGACCCCAAAAGTCTATTCCTGAGCCCTCCTGCCTGCACATAAAAACTGACACAGTGAGGTGCTCAGCCCATGTTGTTGAGTGAAAAAACTAATCTGGACTTCTAAATGTAACCAAATACTGACTGTCAGAAAAAAGCAGTTGTGCCAGTAGAGAACTGGAACTAAATGTCACATGGCATTAAAGTCTACGCCCCTAACCTTTGGCCACAAACCTTGCTATCCGCCCCAGCCTGCCTTTCCAGCTTGTTCTCTTCCCTCCCATACACACTCTTTGAACCTCATCCCAAATTATTTGTTGACCCTATAAACATCACCTGCTTTCACGTTCCAGTGCCTTCACACATGTGATTCCCTATGCCTAGAATGCTCTTCCCTCTCCGTTAATTAAGGTAATTATTTTTCCTTCAAAACCCAGGTCAAGGCCAGGCACGGTGGCGCACGCCTGTAATCCCAGCACTTTGGGAGGCCGAAGCGGGCAGGTCACCTGAGGTTGGGAGTTCGAGACCAGCCTGACCAACATGGAGAAACCTTGTCTCTACTAAAAATACAAAATTAGCAGGGCATGGTGGCACATGCCCATAATCCCAGCTACTTGGGAGGCTGAGGCAGGACAATCGCTTGAACCCAGAAGGCGGAGGTTGTGGTGAGCTGAGATTGTGCCATTGCACTCCAGCCTGGGCAACAAGAGCGAAACTCCGTCTCAAAAAAAAAAAAAAAACCAACAACAACAACAACAACAACCCAGGTCAAGTAGTGCCTGTTTCAGGAAGCCTGCTCTGACCACTGACTGCCCCCACCACCAGGCTGGTTGCCTCTGTGCTTTAGCAAGTGCTCTGCTTCCTTTTTTTTTTTTTTCTTTTTTGAGACAGGGTTTCACTACGTTGCCCAGGCTAGAGTGCAGTGGCTATTTTACAGGCATGACCATAGTGCACTGCAGCCTCAAACTCCTGGACTCAGTCTATCCTCCCGCCTCGGCTTCCTGAGTAACTGAAACTACAGGCATGAGCCACCACACACAAACATGCTTCTTTTTATAAGAGTACTTACCATGTTCTTTTTCTGTTGTCTTCCTTCCCTTCCTACTAGACTTGAGTACCTTGAGGGCAGGGCCTGGGTTTTATCTATTTCTGTGTCCTCAGTGTCCAGCACACAGCATGACACAAAGGAGAGGTATTTATTGAGCACATGCCCAGTGAAAAGAATGTGCAGTAAAAGAGTTATCATCAGTTAGGGAATTTACTCCCACACTGCCAAGGAATTCCTAGTTTAGGAAAGGCTCTTTTTGTTGGAGAATAAATTATTTACAAGCATCTGACCTCCTAGGAAAAGGCTAGAACAGTGAATAGTAGATGACAGGTGAGAATGACTAGGGAAGTATAATTTTATCACCATTCCAAAACACACATACATTGTTCCTGGTAGATGCATAATCTGTAGGAGATGGACACAGCACCCTCTTATAGAAGAGTCCCCTGGGCCGGGTGTGGTGGCTCATGCCTGTAATCCCAGCACTTTGGGAGGCCGAGGTGGGCGGATCACCTGAGTTCAGGAGTTTGAGACCAGCCTGGCCAACATGGCCAAACCCCGTCTCTACTAAAAATACAAAAATTAGCCAGGCATGGTGGCACACACCTGTAGTCCCAGCTACTCGGGAGGCTGAGGCAGGAGAATCACTTGAACCCAGGAGGCAGAGGTTGCGGTGAGCCAAGATCATGCCACTGCACTCTAGCCTGGGTAACAGAGTGAGACTCAACCCTGTCTCAGAAAAAAAAAAAAAAAGTGGGGGGGTGGGGGCCAGAAAAGAGACAAGGGCATAAGCATTGGATCGCCATGCCTTTCTTGGATGTGCTGAAAAGGTTCAGCCTTAACATAGATTGATGGTGGACAATCCAAAGTGCTGAACAGCCCTACAAGATTCCTGCTCGATGCCAGGCTTTTCAAAAAGAATGGATAGAATGTGCACATGGAATCGTTAGTATCCAGGCAGAGAAGGAGTGCAAGATAGAATATGATGATTTTGTAGAGTGTATACTTTAGCAGAAAACGATGAGACGTCTGAGTACCATTAGGAAGCAGCGGGATAAGCTGATAAAGGAAGGGAAGTACACCCCTCCACCTCACCATGTGGACAATGCAGAGCCTTGGCCCTGAACAGAGCAGCTGCTGATGTCTGGAGGCTGATTTTCCTGTTCTCTGTTCTCCACTGGAAAGGTTGTTTACAGAAAACCTCCTTGTCAAAGTGTGTAAAAATAAAGGATTGCTCCATTCCCCACCCCCCAAAAAAATAATGTCTAGCTTGCAGGATTTGCAGGAGGATTTTATAATAATAGCCAATGCTTATATAACAGTTATATCTTGCCAAGTCCTATTTTTTTCTTTCTTTTTTTTTTTTTATTTTTTGAGATGGAGTCTTGCTCTGTCGCCCAGGTTGGAGTGCAGTGGCACGATCTCTGCTCACTGCAACCTCTGCCTCGGGGGCGCAAGCAATTCTCCTGCCTCAGCCTCCTGGGTAGCTGGGACTACAAGTGTGCACCACAACGCCTGGCTAATTTTTGTATTTTTAGTAGAGATGGGGTTTGGCCCTGTTGGCCAGGCTGGTCTTGAACTCCTGGCCTCAAGTAATCCACCCTCCTTGGCCTCCCAAGTTCTGGAATTATATAACTAAGCCACTGTGGCTGGCCTTGCCAGGTCCTATTTTAAGAGCCTTCTATATGTAATAGTATAAATATATAGTAACTCAGTTAATCTGCTAGATGCTATGAGTTAAGTAAGATTATCACGCCAATTTTATAGGTAAAGAAACAGACACGGCTGGGTGTGGTGGCTCATGCCTGTAATCCCAGCACTCTGGGAGGCCGAGGCAGGTGGATCATGAGGTCAGGAGTTCAAGACCAGCCTGGCCAAGATGGTGAAACCCCATCTCTACTACAAATAATAAAATTAGCCTGCAATGGCAGGCGCCTGTAATCCCAGCTACTCTGGAGGCTGAGGCAGGAGAATTGCTTGAACCTGGGAGGTGGAGGTTGCAATGAGCCGAGATCGCGCCACTGCACTACAGCCTGGGAGACGGAGTGAGACTCCATCTAAAAAAAAAAGAAAAGAAAAGAAACAGACACACAGATGTGTCACATAAATTCTCTAAGATCACATGGCTAGTAAATGTGGAGCTGGGAGTGAAACCCAGGCAGAATGGCTTGCTGTAGAGTCCATGCTCCTAACAAGTACTGTATTCCATGTCACCCCTCCAATAAGAAAATTACATAAAAGTGAAGGTGTCTGCCCATAATAAGGCATAACAAATATTGACAATAAGAAAGGTAATCCAGTGCCCATAGTTGATGAGATGAAATAAAATGGATTAATATTAAGGAGTAAAATATTACCTTATTGCTCCTTTTTAAAATGTCTTAACTATTACATACTCTTGCAACTGGAAGGTTTTCTGTCTGAGGTCTGGGTTAAGATGCCTAAAGGTAAGCTGGCTTTGCCTTCTCTTGAGGAAATGAAAAGGTTCTTAGCACTTGAGCCAGAGGGCATTTGAGGGACAACAGGATACCATGAAATTAATGCCTTCCAGTCAGGCCATGTTCTGGGCCCTAAAGAGAGAGATAAATCTAGCCGGGCATGGTAGCGGGCACCTGTAATCCCAGCTACTCAGGAGGCTGAGGCAGGAGAATGGTGTGAACCTGGGAGGTGGAGCTTACAGTGAGCGGAGATCGCACCACTGCACTCCAACCTGGGTGACAGAGCAAGACTCCATCTCAAAAAAAAAAAAGAAAAAAAAAGAAAGAGGTAAATCAAATCCAGTCAATGCTCCAGAGGAGCTCACAGCCTATTTGGGAAGCAAACGAAAGGCACAATCGCAACAGAGTAGACTCTTCAGAGGGAAGCTCATGAAAGACAATTAACCTAATTATGGAAGGGTGATCAGGAAAGGCTGTGAGGAGGAGATGCCTCAATCTAGTAGTAAATGCAAGTGGAAGGCACATTTGAAGAAAGCAAGAAAGGGTTTCCTGGTGGAAAGAAAGCCATGAGCAAATACACAAAGGCTTAAAGTAGCACTATATATTCCAAGAGCTACGAGTAATTCAGTATAGCTAGAGCAGAGCCAGAAGACATGGAGTGCAAGTGATGTCTCAATCTAGTAGTAAATGCAAGTGGAAGGCACATTTGAAGAAAGCAAGAAAGGGTTTCCTGGTGGAAAGAAAGCCATGAGCAAATACACAAAGGCTTAAAGTAGCACTATATATTCCAAGAGCTACGAGTAATTCAGTATAGCTAGAGCAGAGCCAGAAGACATGGAGTGCAAGTGTTGATGCTCAAAGCATAGAGACAGGCCAGATGGAAAAGTGCCTCAATTGTCAGATTAAGAGTGTGGCCCTTGGCCAGGCACAGTGGCTCACACGTGTAATCCTAGCGCTTTGGGAGGCCAAGGTGGGTGGACAGCCTGAGCTCAGGAGTTCAAGATCAGCCTGAGCAACACAATGAAACCCCATCTCTACTAAAATATAAAAAATTAGCCAGGTGCTAATTTTTAGCCAAGATGGTGAAACCCCATCTCTACTACAAATAATAAAATTAGCCAGGCGCAATGGCAGGTGCCTGTAATCCCAGCTACTCTGGAGGCTGAGGCAGGAGAATCGCTTGAACCTGGGAGGCGGAGGTTGCAGTGAGCCGAGATTGTGCCACTGCACTCCAGCCTGGATGACAAGAGGGAAATTGCCTCAAAAAAAAAAAAAAAAAGGGCCCTTATTCTATAGGAGTTGTAGAGCCATTGAAAATTCCTGAGGCTGGGCGTGGTGGCTCATGCCTGTAATCCTAGCACTTTGGGAGGCTGAGGCAGGAGGATCATGAGGTCAAGATATCGAGACCATCCTGGCCAATATGGTGAAACCCCATCTCTACTAAAAATACAAAAATTAACTGAGCGTGGTGGCACGTGCCTGTAGTCCCAGCTACTCGGGAGGCTGAGGCAGGAGAATCATTTGAAGGTTTGAGCCTTGAGAGAGCTTTAAAGCACATTGAAAGATGCTCAACATCATTACTCATTAGGAAAATGCAAATTAAAACCAAAATGAGATACTACTTTGCACCCACTGGGATTACTGTAACAAAAAAGATGAACAATAACAAGTGTTGATGAGGATGTGGAGAAATTGGAACTCTTAGACACCGCTAGTGGGAATGCAAAATGGTACAGCTGTCTTGAAAAACAGTTCAGCAGTTCACTAAAAAGTTAGAGTTGGCAGGGCATGGTGGCTCACACCTGTAATCCCAGTATTTTGGGAGGCCAAGGTGGGCATATCACAAGGTCAGGAGTTTGAGACCAGCCTGACCAACATGGTGAAACCCTGTCTCTACTAAAATTACAAAAATTACCCGGGTGTGGTGGTACACACCTGTAATCCCAGCTACTCAAGAGGCTAAGGCAGTAGAGTCACTTGAACCCGGGAGGCAGGGGTTGTAGTGAGCTGAGATCGTGCCACTGCACTCCAGCCTGGGTGACAAAGTGAGACTCCGTCTCAAAAAAAAAAATAAGTAAGTTAGAGTTACCACCTGACCCAGCAATTCCACTCCTAGGTGTATATCCAAGAGAAATGAAGGTAAATATTCACATAAAAACTTGTCCACCAATGTTCATAGCAGCATTATCCATAGTAGCCAAAATTGGAAACACCCCAAATGTCCATCATCTAATGAATGAATAAACAAAATATGATACCCCCATACAATGGAATATTAGCTATAAAATGGAGTGAAGTTCTGATACATATTGCAACATGAATGAATCTTTAAAATATAATGCTAAATGAAAGAAGGCAGATACAAAAGGCAACATATTGTATAATTTCATTAATATTAAATATCCAGAATCGGCCCTGCGCTAATCTCAGCACTTTGGGAGGCCCAGGCAGGAGGATCCCTTGAGCCCAGGAGTTCAAGACCAGCCTGGGAAACATGATGAAATCTTGTCTCTGCAAAAACCACAAAAAACTAGCTAGGCATAGTGCTGCACAACTAGTAGACCCAGCTACTCAAGACACTGAAGTGGGAGGATCACCTGAGCCCAGGAGGTCAAGGCTGCAGTGAGCCCTGGTCATGCCAGTGCACTCCAGCCTAGGTGACAGAGCGAGCTCCTGTCTTGAATATATATATATATATCTCCAGAATAGGCAAATCCACAGAAATAGAGTGTAGGTTAGTGGTTATCAGGGGCCACTGAATTGTACACTTTAAAATACTGAGTTTTTTATGGCATGTGAATTATAAAGACTTGCACCAGAGTGACCCATGAGGAAAGAACAGCAATGCTGTAAGCTCAGGCTTCAAACAGGGGAACCCATCCTCCTGGAGGGTCATGAAGATTTTCGATGGGGTACACAAGCATGAATAATTTTATGGTAATCACTTCTCACAACTCTGATGTGTATACTCTTCCTTAACATTAATCTGCCTGAGAATTTACCTTTCACTTCTCCACTTTCACAATAGCTTTTCCTTTGCTTTTAAAAGAAAAGCTATACCTTTCACTTATCCTGAATACCGTATTACTATGAGGGTATTGTCCTGGGGTTGAAAATGTCTAGAGCCAGCCTGGCCAACACAGAGAAACCCCATCTCTGCTAAAAATACAAAAATTAACCAGGTGTCGTGGTGCGTGCCTGTGGTCCCAGCTACTTGGGAGGCTGAGACAGGAGAATCGCTTGAACCTGGGAGGCAGAGGTTGTAGTGAGCACAGATCACGCCACTGCTCTCTAGCCTGGGCTACAGCGAGACTCTGTCTCAAAAAAAAAAAAGAGAGAGAGGCAGAGAGAGGGTCCAAAGATAAAGATTGTGATGACTATGTAGAATGTTTTCAGACTTTAGACATGAAATAATTTTTAGTTTGACAAGGTTTAGGGCGCAGCCATGGGAGTGGGTGGCTGAAGTGAAAGGGAGACTCATTAGATTCGAGGATGTCAAGGAGCAGAAAGGCCGGATAGCTGGATGGGTCATTGAGGTGGATGTTCAAGTCACCCAAGCTGTTGTAGGATTGTAATAGCCCAGTTGCTCTCAAACTTTAGTGTGAGTCAGAATCACTTGGAAGGCATATTAAAATATAGTTTAGCCGGATGCAGTGGCATGCACCTGTAGTCCCAGTTACTTGGGAGGCAGAGGCAGGAGAATCGTTTGAGCACAGGAATCCTGGGCTCTAGTGTGCTATGCCAATCAGGTGTCTGCACTAAATTCAGCATCAATGTGGTGATCTCCCAGGAGCAGAGGACCACCAGGTTGCCTAAGGAAAGGTGAACTGCCAGGTTGGAAATAAAAGAGGCCAAAACTCCTGGGCTGGACAGCAGTGAGATCACGCCTGTGAATAGTCTCTGCACTCCAGCCTAGGTTACATAGCAAGACCCCATCACACACACACATCCCTCACACATACACACACACACCACACACAGACACACCACACACACACACACACACACACACACACACACACACACACACACACAGTTTACTGGGCCTTACACCCAGAATTTCTGATTCAGTTGGTCTTGGTGGCCCAGTAATTTGCATTTCTAACAAGCCTCACCTGGGAACAAGGGTCGGGCCCACACTTTAGCAATTATTGGAGTAGAGTGCAGATTGAGTCAGGCGTCAAGGTCTTCTATGAATGTATTCAGTTGATGACAGCAATGAAGAGGGAGAGATAGCAACCTTAAATGGTTGATTTAAAATATGACCCTAACACTTGGATGTTTCACCCGGTAGCCAGTTCTTTGCCCACCTTGGCCACATATTTCTCCCTAACCACAGCAGAAGTTTGGGCAACCTTCAGCTCTCCTCCTTGGTTTTAAACTCTGTGTCCAAGGGCTTTAATTTCCTTTTTTTTTTTTTTTTTTACGGATGCTATTTTTTTTTTTTTTTTTTTTGTATTTTAGTAGAGACAGGGTTTCACTGTGTTGTCCAGGCTGGTCGCGAACTCCTGAGCAATCCGCCCGCCTCGGCCTCCCAAAGTGCTAGGATTACAGGCGTGAACAACTGCGCCCAGCCAAGGGCTTTAATTTCATATTCTATGGAATACTCTTCACCTTGATGTTTGAATCAGAAATAGCTGGAGCCAGCTTTATTCTAAAACCAGCAACTTCAGGGAGAAAAAGCAGACTGAACTGCCAAACTGCTTTCCACCTCCAGAGATTTCACTATGTGTTGCGGGGTGAGGAAAGGAAAAAAAGCCAGGTGCGGTGGCTCATGCCTGTAATCCCAACACTGTGGGAGGCTGAAGCAGGTGGATCACTTAAGGTCAGGAGTTCAAGACCAGCCTGGCCAACATGGTGAAGCCCCGTCTCTACTAAAAATACAAAAATTAGCCAGACATGGTGGCATGTGCCTGTAGTCCCAGCTACTCCGGAGGCTGAGGCAGTAGAATTGCTTGAACCTGGGAGGCAGAGGTTGAGGTGAGCTGAGATCATGCCACTGCACTCCAGCCTAGGGTACAGAGGGAGACTCTCTCTCAAAAAAAAAAAAAAAAGGTAAAGCTAATACTAGAGAGGTCATTTATAAACGAATAATAGAAGGCACATTTCTCAAACGAATGTTCTTTCTGACAATAAATATGTTTTGCACATTTATGTAATTTTCTGAAATGTAGTTCACAAGCTATAGAGGTTAACCTTCCTTATTTACATTAAAAGTCAGTAAATTGCTGGGCACGGTGGCTCACGCCTGTAATCCCAACACTTTGGGAGGCCAAGGCAGGAGAATCACTTGAGCCCAGGAGTTCAAGGCCAGCCTGGGCAACATAGGGAGACCCTGTCTGTACAAAAAGTAAAAAAAATTAGCTGGTCATGTTAGCACACGCCTGTAGTACCAGCTACTTGGGAGGCTGAGGTGTGATGATCATTTGGGTCTGGAAAGTGGAGGCTGCAGTGAGGGTTGTCATCATGCCATTGCACTCCAGCCTGAGAGACAGAATGAGACCCTATCTCAAAAAAAAAAAAAAAGGTAAAGAAAATACAAGAAGGACTTGTAATTTATAGAAAAGATAGAGCGTGGTAAAATGTAATCTTGCTGAAGACCTTAGCGTCAGCCTAATCAGTCACATAAGCAGGCCTGGTTTGGCTGGGCGCAGTGGCTCACGCCTGTAATCCCAGCACTTTGGGAGTCCAAGGCAGGTGGATCACCAGGTCAGGAGTTCGAGACCAGCATGGCCAATATGGTGACACCCTGTCTCTACTAAAAATACAAAACTTAGCTGGGAGTGGTGGCAGGCGCCTGTAGTCTCAGCTACTCGTGAGGCTGAGGCAGGAGAATCACTTGAACCCAGGAGGTGGACGTTGCAGTGAGCTGAGATCACACCACTGCACCACTCCAGCCTGGGTGACAGAGTGAGACTTCATCTCAAAAAAAAAAAAAAAAGAAGGCCTGGTTTACATCACTGTACATATATACATACACATATAGGTCCAAGGAGTTTGTTTTCTTTCTGTACCAAACGTTCATTTTGTTGTTCCTTTCAATCAAGATAGGTTGAAAAGATACTTAATTGCTTTTTAATCTACCTTTTTCTTCTCTGGGTATATAAGTTCTGATTCCAGGCTGGCATGGTGGCTCATGCCTGTAATCCCAGCACTTTAGGAGGCTGAGGCGGGTGGATCCCTTGAGGCCAGGAGTTGAAGACCAACCTGGCCAACAGGGTAAAACCCCATCTCTACTAAAAAAACAGAAATTAGCCGGGAGTGGTGGCTCATGCCTGTAATCTCAGTACTTTGGGAGGCTGAGGTGGGCAGATCACTTGAAGTCAGGAGTTTGAGACCAGCCTGGCCAACATGGTGAAACTCCATCTCTACTGAAAATACAAAAAAAGTAGCCGGGTGTGGTGGTGCACACTTATAATCCCAGCTACTCGGGAGGCCAAGGAAGGAGAATCATTTGAATCCAGGAGGTAGAGGTTGCAGTGAGCCAAGATCGCACCACTGTACTCCAGCCTGGGCGACAGAGCAAGATTCCATCTCTAAATAAAATAATAATAATAATTTCTAATTCCATAGTCAGGAGTTCTTACCAGCTCCCCTATGAGGTTTTGGAGCCATCATGTCAAGAGGACTTTCCACGTATACTCGTAATATCTCAGAATTCTTATGGCCCTTGTTAAATATTAGATACTTCCTGTCTACCCTGGAGTCATAGGTGCCTAAATAAATCAAGACTCTAGGGGCCAGGTGCAATGGCTCACGCCTGTAATCTCAACACTTTGGGAGCCGGAGACAGGCAGATCCTTTGAGTCCAGGAGTTCGAGACCAGCCTGGCCAACATGGCAAAACCCCGTCTCTACTAAAAAGACAAAAATTAGCTGGGCATGGTGGTGCATGCCTGTAGTCCCAGATACTCAGGAAGCTGAGGTGGAAGAATGGCTTGAACCCAGGAAGTGGAGGTTGCAGTGAGCTGAGGTCATGCCACTGCTCTCCAGCCCGGGTGACAGAGATTAAGCACAGAGCCAGAATGTTAGAACTGGTGGAGAGCTTGAAGTTCACCCCTCCTGACCACTTACTCCCTCAGGACATTTTACAGATGATCAAACCAAGCCCCTATCCCCAAAGGGAGAGGAAAGATTTGTCCAAGGCCTCAGCATCTCAGGGTGCCAAATGCCTAAAGGTCATCAAATCACACCTCCCCAGTATCAGAGCCAGGGACTAGAATTCAATCCTGACTCCTGGTACAGTGCTCCTTAGTCTTTGTTGTTGTTGTTTGTTTTTTGAGACAGGGTCTCACTCTGTCACCCAGGCTGGAGTGCAGGGGCACGATCTTGGCTCCCTGATTCTAATTAACTCAACAAAAACTAAAAAAAAAAACAACAACTGTACAGACCCTTTTAAAATTAGAACATTAAAAAAAATTTTTTTTTTAAGAAGGAGTTTTGCTCTGTCGCCCAGGCTGGAGTGCAGTGGTGCGATCTCGGCTCACTGCAACCTCCGCCACCCGGGTTCAAGTGATTCTCCTGCCTCAGCCTCCTAAGTAGCTAGGATTACAGGCACCCACCACCACAGCTGGCTAGTTTTTGTATTTTTTAGTAGAGATGGGGTTTAGTAGAGATGTTGGCCATGTTGGCCAGGCTGGTCTCAAACTCCTGACCTCAAGTGATCTGCCTGGCTCCTTGGCCTCCCAAAGTGCTGGGATACAGCCTTGAGCCACTGTGCCCGGCAACAACTTTGTTTTACATTAGCCAAGCATGGTGGTTTGTGCCTGTAGTCTGAGGTACTCGGGAGACTGAGACAGGAGGATTGCTTGAGCCCAAGAGGTTGAGGCTGCAGTGAGCCATGACTGTGCCACTGCACTCCAACCAGGGTGACAGAACAAACCTTGTCTTAAAAAAAAAAATTAGAACATCAATAAAGCCATTTCTCATTGTAAAAATTATTTTTACTTGTAGAATAAGTGACTCTAAATTACTACTTTTAAAATTATTGATTTACTTTAAAAATAGGTTATATATTTTCATGATTAAAAAAAATCAGGTCGGGTGTGGTGGTTCACACCTGTAATCCCAGCCCTTTGGGAGGCTGAGGCAGGTGGATCACTTGAGGTCAGGAGTTTGTGACCAGCCTGGCTAACATGGTGAAACCCTGTCTCTGCTAAAAATACAAAAATTAGGCAGGCGTGGTGTCACGCGCCTATAATCCCAGCTACTCAGGAGGCTGAGGCAGGAGAATTGCCTGAACCCAGGAAGCAGAGGTTGCAGTGAGCCGAGATTGTGCCACTGTGCTCCAGCCTGGGTGACAAAGTGAGACTCTGCCTCAAAAAACAAAAACAAAAACAAAAATTAGCCAGGTGTGGTGGTCGGCACCTGTAGTCTCAGCTACTTGGGAGGCTGTGGCAGGAGAATCACTTGAACCTGTGAGGTAGAGGTTGCAGTGAGTAGAGATTGGGCCACTGCACTCCAACCTGGGCGACAGAACAAGACTGTCTCAAAAAAGTAAAAATAAATAAAAAATAAATAAAAAGATACAAAAGATTATACACTATGAAAATCTTCCTCCTACCTGTCTCTGGCCATCCAGTTTTCTTCATTGCAGAAATGATTTAAGTTTCTGTTAAATTCTTCTGGGGATATTTTATGCATATATAAGCAATTAGGAACGGATATTACTATCATCAGTTCTTACAGGAATATTAGCATGCAATACATTCTATTTAGGGCATTGCTTTTTCACTTAACAGTAGATTTTGAAGCTATTTCCCTATTAGTAGACAAAAAGCTTTCTCATTCCTTTTTAAGGCTGTAGATTATGCATTGTATAACTACACTGTTATTTAACCAGGTCTGTATTAATAAACATTTAAGCCAGGTACAGTGGCTCACGCCCATAATCCCAGTGCTTTGGAAAGCTGAGACAGATGGATTGCTTGAAGCCAGGAGTTTGAGACCAGCCTAGACAACATCAACCAGACCCCGTCTGTACAAAAAGTTAATTTTTTTTTTCATTTTTTCTGCCATGCCTATAGTATCAGCTACTTGGGAAGCTGAGGTGTGAGGATGGCTTGAGCTCCAGAGTTCAAGGATGCAGCGAATGATGATTGGGCCACTGTACTCCAACCTGGGCAATAGAGTGAGACCCTGTCTCTATAAATAAATAAAATAAAAATAAAACATTAAGTTGTTTTCAATCTTTTGCTATTACAAGTAAGGCTTGAGCATGTGTATAAATTAAACTTTTAAAAGTGAAATTGCTGAAATAAAAAAAGGGAAATTGCTGGGTCAAAGGGAACATGCATTCAGACAAGTTATAAATGCCACCGTTAAATTATCCTCCATAGAAGTTATCCCAATTACACTCCCAACAACAAAATATGAGCATACCTGTTCAACATCACCCCTCCTTTCCACACAGTATCTTATCAATCATAGATCTTTGCCAATCTGACAGATGAGAAATGGTAATTTCAAAGAAATTCTAATTTGCCTTTATCTTATTATTATAAGTAAGAGTGAGCATTGAAGAGCCATTTCTATTTCTTTTTCTGTGAACTATCAGTTCACATCTTTTGTGCATTTTTCCCCTTGGGTTTTGTTCTTATTGATTTCAGCTCTGAATACAAATATAAACATTATTCATTTTCCTATATGAAATGCATACATATATACATATAGTCATTTGTTATCTGACTCTACTTATGGTGACTTTTGCCTTACATTTTTTATTTCTACATAGCTGAATTTATCAATCTTTTCTGTTATGGCATCTTGGTTTTGTTTTGTACTTATTTATTTATTTATTGAGACGGAGTTTCCCTCTTTTGCCCAGGCTGGAGTACAGCGGCGCAATCTTGGCTCACTGCAACCTCCGCCTCCCGGTTTCAAGGGATTCTCCTGCCTCAGCCTCTGGAGTAGCTGGGATTACCACCATGCCCGGCTAATTTTTGTATTTTTAGTAGAGACGGGGTTTTGCCATGTTGGCCAGGGTGGTCTCGAACTCCTGACCTCATGATGTGCCCACCTCAGCCTCCCAAAGTGCTGGGATTACAGGCATGAGCCACCGTGCCCAGCTCTTGTTTTGTACTTAAGAAGACCTTCCTTACTTTAAGATTCTAAAAAATTCTCCCATGATTCTTTCTTCCAGTATGTTATGGTTTCCTTCTTTCTTTTTTTTTTTCTTTTTTTTTTTTTTTTTTTTTGTGACGGAGTCTCGCTCTGTCGCCCAGGCCGGACTGCGGACTGCAGTGGCGCAATCTCGGCTCACTGCAAGCTCTGCTTCCCGGGTTCACGCCATTCTCCTGCCTCAGCCTCCCGAGTAGCTGGGACTACAGGCGCCCGCCACCGCGCCCGGCTAATTTTTTGTATTTTTAGTAGAGACGGGGTTTCACCTTGTTAGCCAGGATGGTCTCGATCTCCTGACCTCGTGATCCACCCGCCTCGGCCTCCCAAAGTGCTGGGATTACAGGCGTGAGCCACCGCGCCCGGCGCTTCTTTCTTTTTTACTTTTTTTTTTTTTTTTTTTTTTTTTGAGACAGAGTCTCGCTCTGTTGCCCAGGCTGAAGTGCAGTGGCGCGATCTCGGCTCACTGCAAGCTCCGCCTGCCGGGTTCACGCCATTCTCCTGCCTCAGCCTCCCGAGTAGCTGGGACTGCAGGCGTCCGCCACTGCGCCCGGCTAATTTTTTGTATTTTTAGTAGAGACGGGGTTTCACCGTGTTAGCCAGGATGGTCTCGATCTCCTGACCTCATGATCTGCCCACCTCGGCCTCCCAAAGTGCTGGGATTACAAGCGGGAGCCACTGTGCCCGGCTTTTTTTTTTTTTTTTTTTTTGAGACGGAGTCTCACTCGGTCATCCAGGCTGGAGTGCAGTGGCTCGATCTTGGCTCACTGCAATCTCTGCCACCCAGGTTCAAGCGATTCTCTTGTCTCAGCCACCGGAGTAGCTGGGATTACAGCCGTTGCCTGTAATTTTTGTAGTTTTAATAGAGACGGAGTTTCACCATCTAGGTCAGGCTGGTCTTGAACTCCTGACCTTGTGATCCACCTGCCTTGACCTCTCAAAGTGCTGGAAGCCACTGTGCCCGGCCTAATTTTGTATTTTTAGTAGAGATGGGGTTTCACCATCTTGGCCAGGGTGGTCTTGAACTCGACTTCAAGTGATCTGCCTGCCTGGGCCTCCCAAAGTGCTGGAATTACAGGCGTGAGCCACCATGCTCGTTCTTCTTTTTTACATTTTAATATTTGATATATTTGAAATTTGTCTTGGTGAATAGTGTGAAGTATAAATCCAAGTTAAAATTTTCTAGATGTCTATCCAGTTATTCTAACACCAAATACAATTCCAACTTTTGCTTTCTGACTTGAAATGCTACCTTCAGTATTATACTAAATTCCTAGGTAATTTGGATGTATTTTTGATCTGTTTGTGCTTCATTGATTGCAAATCAAGCAAATCAACTGTGACTCCATTCTTTCTTGATTGCAGAACTCTTATTTATTTATTTATTTTTGGAGATAGGGTCTTACTCTGTCACACAGGCTGGAGTGCAGTGGCGTGATGATGCCTCATAGCAGCCTCGACCTCCAGGGCTCAGGTGATCCTCCCACCTCAGTCTCTTGAGTAGCTGAAACTACCACCATGCCCAGCTACTTTTTGGTATTTTTTTGTAGAGATGGGATTTTGCCATTTTGCCCAGGCTGGTCTCAAACTTTTGGTCTCAAACCATCTGCCTGCCTTGGCCTCCCAAAGTGCTGGGATTACAAGTGTGAACCACCTTGGCTGGCTAGAACTCTAATTTTTTTTTCTTTCTTTTTTTTTTTTTTTTTTTTTGAGAAGGAGTCCCTCTCTGTCGCCCAGGCTGGAGTGCAATGGAGTGATCTTGGCTCACTGCAACTTCCGCCTGCCGGGTTCAAGCGAGTCTCCTGCCTCAGCTTCCTGAGTAGCTGGGACTACAGGTGCGCACCGCTACACCCAGCTAATTTCTTTTGTATTTTTAGTAGAGATGGAGTTTCACCATGTTGGCCGGGCTGGTCTTGATCTCCTAACCTCATGATCCACCCACCTCAGCCTCCTAAAATGCTGGGATTACAGGCCTGAGCCACCACACCCAGCCCAGAACTCTAATTTTTAATGACGATTTTCCTCCACTACAAGGAAGTCCTTAGGGAAAGTAACTCACAGATCAGACGGAGAGTAAATCATGATTGGTCTAAGCTACTATTGTTGGTCCTATTCTCTTTGGTATTTATTGGCTTATCCATGGTACTTGAGGGGAAGTCTATTGAGTAACTACTAAGAAAAATTGTAGCTTACTAGACATATAAGGGGATATGTTTAGCTGGCAGTTAGATATTTAAGTATGAAATTCAGAATGCAGATATAATTTTGGGGTTATCACAGCATAGATAATATTTAAAGTAATGTGTTGGGATAAGATTATCAAGGAGTGTACATGCAAAAGACAAAAAGTCGAAATATTGAGCCTTGGGGTACTACAGTATTTAGAGGTCAGAGAAATGAGGAGAAACTAGGAGCAGCCAGTGAGATAGAAGACCCGAGGGGGTGAAATGTCATGGTAGCCAAGGAGGGGGAAGTAATGAGCTGTGTCTAGTGATGTTGGTAGGTCAAGTAACACGAGGACTGAGAATTGACTGGTGTCAGCAAATGGACACCACTAGTGACCTTGACAAGGGCATTTCAGTGGAGTGGAGGAGGTAAAAGCTTAACCAGAGAGGATCTCACCGAAAATGAGAAAAAGGAAGTCAAGGCCAGGCGAGGTGGCTCATGCCTGTAATCTCAGCATTTTGGGAGGCCAAGGCAGGCAGATTGCTTGAGCTCAGGAGTTCAAGACCAGCCTAGGCAACATGATGAAACCTCATCTCCACAAAAAATACAAAAATTAGTTGGACGTGGTGGCACATGCCTGTAGTTCCAGCTACTTGGGAGGCTGAAGTGGGAGGATTGCTTGAACCCAGGAGGCTAAGGTTGCAGTGAGCTGAGATCGCACCACTGCACTCCAGCCTAAGCAACAGAGTGAGACCATGTACAAGCCACCTTTGTGAGACATTTTGCAGAAAAGAGAATGGAGAAATGGGGCAGTAGGTGGGGGGTCAAGTCCAGTCAAGAGAGGGTTTTTTTTTTTTTTTTGAGGTGGAGTCTCGCTCTGTTGCCCAGGCTAGAGTGCAGTGGCGTGATCTTGGCTCACTGCAACCTAAGGAGGGTTTTTTTGTTTGATTGTTTTAAGATGGAAGAAATAAAATCATGTTGCTATAGCAATGAGAGGTAATAGCAGAAAAATAGCGATGTAGGTGAGAGGAAGAATTGCTGGATAGGTGTCTTTGAGAAAGTGACGTGGTATGAGACCTAGTACTTGAGCTCCTCAAAGTGTCATCAATGGACTAGTGACCATCTAGAAATGGTTTTTCACCAGTTTGTGACAGCAATTCAGAATTAATATTTTGAAACTTTTATAACAATTTGACAGAAAAATGTTACGCGTGTTGGGTTTAATAATAAAAATTCTGCCTAGAGTAGTCAAATTCATAGAGATAGAAAGCAGAACAGTGATGGCGAGGGATTGGGGGAAGTTAGGAATGGGGAGTTATTGTTTAATGAGTACAAGCTTTCAGCTTTGCAAGATAAAAAAGTTCTGGAGGCCTGGCACATTGGCTCACGTCTGTAATCCTAGCACTTTAGAAGTCTGTGGCAGGAGGATTACTTGAGCCTAGGAGTTTGAGACAAACCTGGGCAACACAGTGAGACCTTGTCTCTACAAAAAAAAAAAAAAAAAAAGGTAGCCAGGCGTGGTGGTATGTGCCTGTAGTTCTAGCTGCTTAGGAGGCTGAGGTGGGAGGATCGCTTCAGCCCAGGAGTTTGAGGCTGAGTGAGCCGTGATTGTGCCACTGTACTCCTGATGGGTGACAGGGTAAGAACTTGTCTCAATAAATAAATAAATAAATAAATAAAAGAAAAAATAAAAAGTTCTGGAGCTTCTTGATGGGGATGGTTGCACAACAATGTGAATGTATTTAATACCATTGAACTGTACACTTTAAAATGGTTAAGCAGGTTTAAAAAATCTGGGCTTGCATTTTGGATGCTTGTTTTTAAATTTTAATTTTTTCTAGTAATTAATTTTGATTGTATTTTACAGAAATTTAGTTTTGTGATTGGGGATAAAATCTGGGTCTTTTAGCACAGATGCTTGAGAACTGAGGAGGATTTGATGTTAGCTAAAAGACAAATAATTAACTTGTAGTAAGGAAAGGAAGGCAGAGAGAGCATCAAAGCAGAGTTACAGGTTCGTTGGAAGTCATGGTGGGTGCTGGGAACTTGTAGATGTTCTTTTTGGTTTGTTTGATTTTCTTGTGAATTAGAAGCAAAATCATCAGCTAAATGAGATGAGGGAGGAAGTGTCGGAGGTTTGAAGAGACAGGAGACTTGAAATAGTTATGTAGCAAGGTGGGAGAGTGTGTGAAACTGGAGAAATGTGGTAGGGTAGCCACTCATTATGGCCTCTTGAGAATAATGATCTCAAATTTACGGGGAGTCAGTCAACCACTTTTGGCTTTTTCTCCACCCACTCCATTGCTGGAGTTCTGTCAGTACAAAGAAAGCAGAGAACGACTAGAGAAATGAAGGTAATACTGAAGAAATCGACTTCATGTACCTCATGTACTCACTTTCTTCCCCAAACAGCTTAGATTCTATTAGATTCCATTTCATGACGGACGATAGAATCTAAGCTGTTTCAGGAAGAAAGTGAGTACATAAGGCCAGCGTGGGGAGGAATAGCGAAAAGGTAGTTGGATCAATGGATTTGGGGTCTTGGAGTTGAAGTTTTTGGAGTTGGAGTATTATCAGACAGAGTGAGCTAGAAAGGAAGAAGGTTGTGGCCGGGCGCAGCGGCTCACGCCTGTAATCCCAGCACTTTGGAAGGCCAAGGCAAGCGGATCACCTGAGGTCAGGAGTTCGAGACCAGCCTGGCCAACATGGTGAAGCCACTTCTCTACTAAAAATACAAAAATTAGCCGGGTGTGGTGCCGGGTGTTTGTAATCCCAGCTACTCGGGAGGCTAAGGCAGGAGAATCACTTGAACCCGGGAGGTGGAGGTTGCAGTGAGCCAAGATCGCACCACTGCACTCCAGCCTGGGCAACAAGAGCGAAACTCCATCTCAAAAAAAAAAAAAAAAAAGAAAGAAAGAAAGAAAGAAAGAAAGGAAGAAGGTTGCAATGGGAGTTAGAGGATTAAAATTGAGATTGTAGAGAAGTTACAATTATTCGTATGAGCATGAGAGTGAGAGGCTGAGCCAAGAATGATCCCTAGAGAAGAATCTGAGAGGCCAGAGGATTGGAAGAATTAAGCGAATTTTGAAATAACCAAGAGTTATGACAATAGTAGTAATGAATGACAGTGAACCAGAAGCCCAAATCTTAGAGAATGATGGTGAATGACAGAGGAGTCTATAGGTGACCGAAGTGAGCGATGCTCTAATCTCTCGTCATGATGTAATATTTAAAGCTTTTCATATTTTGAAGGGATGCTAGGATTTGGGGGTGTGTGGCTCCTTTAAGGGCCTGGGAGGGGGAGAAGCTGGAGGTCGGGCTGGGGGGGGCGGGACCCCCTCGTCTGAGTCTGCGCATTGAGAGCGGAGGCGGGTCCAGGCGCGGGCTCGCGCGCCCGGGCGGGTCCTCGCGGGGGCGGAGTCTGCGCTCTGGTTCGGGCTGCGGCTGCGGCTGCGGCTGCGGCTGCTACTGCTACGCTCCTAGCTTGAGGGAAAGAGGCCGAGGCCTGGGCCAAGCCCGGAGCCGCCGCTCGCCGGAGCCTCCTGGAGCCTCCGCGCCGGCTCAGCCTGGGGGCGGGCTCCGGTCCGGCCCGCCGCCGCACCCAGGACGGAGGCTGCATGCCCGAGGACCAGGCCGGCGCAGCCATGGTGAGGGAGCAAGGCCTGCCCTAGCCGCAGCCGCCCGCCACCCTAGCCCCCGCCCGTCGCGCTGGCCCCTGCGGTCTTGCCCCTCCCTGTCTCTGGTGTCCCCTCGGGCTCCCTGCCTTTACCTCTCTCCCTCGTTACCGCCCCCTCGGTGTTCAGCTCCTCCTTCCCCATTCACCTGCTTCGGTGAACCCCTTTAGGTGACACCCCCTGAATCTCCCTTCTCCCCGATGACATCCTTTTTATCACCCCCAGTGACAGCCTTTTTCGCATTCCCTTTGTCGCCCACTCCTTGTCCTTTAACCCTAACCCTTCCTTTCTTTCTCCTCTATCATTTTGCCTTTTTTCCTCTTATGTGATTTTTACTTTCCCCCCTTTCCTCCCTAGTTTTCGCTGCTCTTCCTTGCTCTTCTCACCCCTCTTCACCATTTTATCTCCACTGCCCCCTTCTCTCCGTGTTCCTTCTCCCCTTCGTCCTCTTCCATCCACGTTTCCTCTTCCCTTATCGGATGTCCTCGCTCGGTTCGCCGTCGCAGCTGTCCCCATTTCCTTCTACGGGCTTCAGGGGTCTAAGCAGGAACAATTTGAGGACTGTTGCTTCCCGGGAGCTGTAGGGCGGGCAGATAGGGATTTATAGGTTTGCTTCTTCCTTTTCGTTTTTGGAGGCATTGAAGAGATCCTGGAAGCCTATTCACCTAGTGTCATTGCAAAATCGAAGTGGTGGTGTGTTACAGAGCAGTGAAGTGAGGGCCAGCATGCATACTGTGACCTCAGGAGAGATCTAGTCTTTTGACAGAAATAGCTAAAAAATGTTTTGAATTTTTTTTATTTTGAGCATCTTTTAATGTGGAGGTGCAGTTGGAGAAGTTTAAAAATACTTATTTACAAGCTTGGCTATTATTACTAAAAACAAATGATTTGTTTTCATTTGGAGGCAGAGACCAAGGGCATTTGAGGACTGACAATCAGGTTGGCAGGTTGTGACAGTCTCTTTAAACCTTCTAAAGAGTTCATTTGTTTTGCCCTGTCTGCCTTTAGTTGGGAGAACCTTATATTTGCAAATTTTCTTTCTGTCTGAAAATAGGTTGAGGCTTCAGTTGGTTTTTTCATTGAGTTGGGTTATAAGTGGTTTGCTGTACATTTATTGAAAACATTGCTCCATCATATGCAACAAGCTAAATTTTGGTCTCTGGGAGGAATAAGGCAAAACTAAGTCCTGATAATTATGTTCCCCTAGGAGGTTAGTCAGTTTCTTTTTTTCCCTCCAGCAGTTTTTTAGAAAAGTAATATACTATAAAATTATTTAATCTATGAATTTTCCCTAACTCACTCCTGCATTTTTAGTCTGTCATTTTCCTGTGTTTGTCTCCTTCACTTTCACACACTGTTGTTGTATGCTAACCTGTTTCTCCCTGTGGAATGTAAGTTCTAGGTAGCAACCGTTCCTTACTTATTATTCCAAGTGCCCAGGCCAGCTAGGTGCTTGAATGATTCACTTTATGGTCTCATTTCCCACCTGACTAATATAAACTTAAACTGAAATTTGAGGTAACTAGTGGACTACACAGAAAGAGTGAGTTTGAGAATTGTTGTTTGGAGACGATCTTGCTCTGTGGCCCAGGCTGGAATGCAGTGGCACAATCATGGCTCTTTGCAACCTTGAACTCCTGAGGTCAAGTGATCTTCCCACCTCAGCCTCACAAGTAGCTGGTACCACAGGCACGGACTACCGTGCCCCGCTAATTTGTAAAACTTTTTGTAGAAATGGAGTCTTGCTGTGTTGCCCAGTCTGGTCTTGACCTCCTGGATTCAAGCCATCCTCCCACCTTGGCCTCCCAAAGTGCTAGAATTACAGGCATGAGCCATCACGCCTGGGCAGAGAATCTTAATTTTGATGCAAAAATGATATTGAGTGAGGTATGATGATATACTTTTCAGAATAAAGAGCTATCCTACCTAAGACATTACACTGCTAGATTTTTGAAAGTGTGGGCCCTTCCATTGAGAATGAATGTATGAGAGGGAGGAGTTATGAACTCCCCTTTGAGGTATTTAGGATCTAAAAGTGTCCTTTGAGCTGGGCCTGAAAGTTGAATAGGATTTATATAGATCATTTTGGGAAGGGGAAGAATGCCTCATTGTGAATGTGAGTAGCAAGTAGAAAGGATCCCCTCACAGGGATTTTTTTTTTTTTAAGAAAGAAAGTAGGAAGGAATTAGGATGCATTGTAGGAAGTAGTATTACCCTTATATAGCATGGAAGGATGCAAGAATGGAGATGTGTAGTAGGAAATGAGGCTAGCAAGATACTGTCTTAGCCCATTCAATCTACTGTAACAAAATACCATAAACTAGGTAGCTTGTCAGCAACAGAAATTTATTTCTCAGAGTTTGGAAGGCTGGGAAGTCCAAAATCAGTTCCCCAGTGGATTCAGTGTCTCGTGAGGGCTCTTCCTAAGTCACCTTTTCACTGTTTTCACACATGGTGGCAGGGGCCAGGCAGCTCTCTGGAGTCTCTTTTATAAGGGCACTAATCCCATTCATGTGGGCACTAACTGGTGATCTAATCACCTCCCAAAGGCCCCACCTCCTCATACCATTACCTTGGGGGTTAGGATTCCAACATATGAATTTAGGGAGACAGAATTCAGACCACAGCAGACATATTAGGCATGATTATGTTTTAAACTTTGCATCTAATTAACTTGATTTTTCCTTGCTTGTTAAAACATATACACACAGAGTAACAGTGTATGTATGGGAGAGGTGAGGAGAAGGCAGAATATTAGCTTATTTTGAGCTAGGAATTATCAGTAGAGGCCACTTTCTCGTGCAATATTTTTGTAGATAATAAATACAGTTGAATGAATGATTATTATAAAGCTTTGTATTTTATATTTGTTAAATGTTAATTAGGTTGTGTTTGAATAGTTGAGATGTTTAAGATGTCAGGAGTTCGAGACCAGCCTGGCCAACATGGCAAAGCCTCGTCTCTACTAAAAATACAAAAATTAGCTGGGTGTGGTGGCACATGCCTGTAATCCCAGCTACTCGGGAGGCTGAGGTAGGAGAATCACTTGAACCCAGGAGGTGGAGGTTGCAGTGAACTGAGGGCAGGGCCTGAGAGGTGGCAGTTCTTTTTTTTTTGAGGCAGGGTCTTGCTCTGTCCCTAAGCTGAAGTGCAGTGGCATGATCACAGCTCACTGCAGCCTTGACTTCCCAGGCTCAAGCGATCCTCTCACCTCAGCCTCCCAAGTAGCTGGGACCACAGGTGCCCATCATCACACCTGGCTAATTTTTATATGTTTTGCAGAGATGGGGTTTCGCCATGTTGCCTAGGCTGGCCTCAAACTCCTGGGCTCCAGTGATCCTCCTGCCTCAGCCTCCCAGAGTGCTGGAATTATAGACGTGAACTACTACAAAAGTTTGCATTTCTGTCAAAACCCACATAATGCTGATGCTGCTGGTCTGTGAACCACAATTTGAGAACTACTGGTCTAAGACATAGTCCTTACTTTTAATTAATCTAATAATGTTTTTGGAGTGTCTTTGACTGTGTTGACACTGGGGAAATGACAGATAGTAAAATAGATGTGACCTCTGGCATTTTTCATCTCATGTATATAGAGTAATTTTATTTTATTATGTATTTATTTATTTATTTTGAGATAGGGTCTGGCTCTGCCGCCTAGACTGGAGTGCAGCGGCGTGATTACGGCTCATTGCAGCCTCAAACCCCTAGGCTCAAGCAGTCCTTCCAGCTCAGCCTCCCAAGTAAAGCTAGGACTTCAAGTGTGCTCTATTATGTGCAGCTGATTTTTTGTTTTTGTGTAGAGAAGAGATCTCCCTGTGTTGGCCAGGCTGGTACCAAACTTCTGGCCTCCAGGGATCTTCCCGCTTTGGCCTCCCAAAGTGCTGGGATTACAGGCACAAGCCACTGCATCCAGCCTTCATACAGTAATTTTAAATGTGAAGAGTTTTAATATATCTTGAGTGTGCTGAAAAAGGACAAGTTGATAGCTGGGCATGGTGGTGCATGCCTGTAGTACCATCTGCTCTAAAGCCTGAGGTGGGAGGCTCACTTGAGCCCAGCAGTTCAAGGCTGCATTGAGTTATGATCATGCCACTGCACTCCAGCCTGGGCAACAGAGCGAGACCTCATTAAAAAAAAAAAAAAATAGAAAGGAAAGAAAAGAGAAGTTGTGGAATAATGGAATGGAATAGTTAGGAGTAGCTTTGCAGAGGGTCTTACTTTCAAGTAGAGAACTGAGGGATTAAATTGTAGGAGTTATGTAAAGAATAGTCCAGATAGGCTGGGTGCAGTGGCTCATGCCTGTAATCCCAGCAGTTTGGGAGGCCGAGGTGGGTGAATCACCTGAGGTCAGGAGTTCAAGACCAGCCTGACCAATATGGAGAAACCCCGTCTCTACTAAAAATGCAAAAATAAGCTGTGCATGGTGGCAGGTGCCTGTAATCCCAGCTACTCGGGAGGCTGAGGCAGGAGAATTGCTTGAACCCGGGAGGTGGAGGCTGCAGTGTGAGCTGCGATTGTGCCACTGCACTCCAGCCTGGGCAACAGAGTGAGGCTCCATCTCAAAAAAAAAGAAAAAAAAAAAAAAGAGTCCAGACAGAAGGAGCAGCATGTGCAAATGACCTGTGGTGATACTCTCTCTTGCCTGCCTAACTCTAACATATCCTGGAGTTCTCCATTCAAGGAACTCAGGGAAACGCTGTCCAAAAAACCTAGGTCACTCTCCTCTTTATTATGTAGCACTTTTTCATAGAATACATAGCAACAGGAATTTTATATTTCTTACTGTAATTATTTGATTAGAGTCTCTTTCCATGTCCAGAATATAAAAATCATTGATAAAGAGATGATTTTTGACCAGCTCCTAAGGGCTAGGTGATGTTCTAGGCACTGTGATTACAGAAGTGAAAAAAAGACATGGGGTACAGGGAGGGGATACACAATAAATACACCTATAAATGTATAATGACAATAGTTATATAATAAATACTAAGAAAAAATAAACCAGGCTAAGATATAAAGTGATATTGTGTGTGTGTGAGAGGGCAACTATTTTAGATGGGATGGTTAAGCAGCAACACTAATAGCTTTTATTTATTTATTTATTTTTGAGACAGGATCTCACTCTGTCACCCAGGCTGGAGTTCAGTGGTGCAACCACGGCTTGCTGCAGTCTCGACCTCCCAGGCCCAAGCCATCCTCCCGCCTCATCCAACTCAAGCAGCTGGGACTACAGGCGTGCAGTACCACGCCAGGCTAATTTTTGTATTTCTGTAGAGATGGGGTTTCACCATGTTGCCCAGGCTGCTCTCAAACTCCTGGACTCACGTGATCTGCCCACTTTGGCTTCCCAAAGTCCTGGGATTACAGGCCTGAGCCATCGTGCCCAGCCTATTTTTTTCTTATGACAGTGACATTTTGAACTAAAAAGATGGAAGTTATTATTAGTATCAGTAAATGTGTTCTTGAAACTTGAAAAAGGATGTGTGTAGGGGAATCAATAAATAAATTGAAATCCCTTCCAAGCTTATGCTTTTGAACCATAAGTCTGAGCAGTCTCAGGCCAGTATGAATCAGAGTTATTCAGAAGCACAAGTGGAGAAATGTCCTACAATAGGAGGGAAATCTTACTAAATTTCCTTCTTGCTTAAAAGAAAATTATATCTTGTATACAGAGATTAAATATTAACACTAGTGGCATTCTGTATCTCCCCCTATTATTAGACATATAATTTATTAGCTGACTAAAATTCTAAATTAATAATTTGGCCGGGTGTGGTGGCTCACGCCTGTAATCCCAGCACTTTGGGAGGCCAAGGCAGACGGATCACGAGGTCAAGAGATTGAGACACTGTGATTACAGAGGTTAAAAAAAGACACCCCGTCTCTACTAAAAATAGAAAAACTAGCTGAGCGTGGTGGCACACACCAGTAGTCCCAACTACTCAGGAGTCTGAGGCAGGAGAATCGCTTGAACCCGGGAGGCAGAGGTTGCAGTGAGCCGAGATTGTGCCACTGCACTCCAGCCTGGCGACAGAGCAAGACTCTGTCTCAAAAAAAAAAGGCCACCCTGGCCAATGTGGTGAAACCCTGTCTCTACTAAAAATACAAAAATTAGCCGAGCGTGGTGGCGGGTGCCTGTAATCCCAGCTACTCCGGAGGCTGAGGCAGGAGAATCACTTGAACCCGGGGGGCGCGGAGGTTGCAGTAAGCTGAGATCGAGCCATTGCACTCCAGCCTGGGCAAAAAGAGTGAAACTCCATCTCAAAAAAAAAAAATTATTAACCCAACATAGGAGGTTATTTTCCTTAGATAAAGCTCATGCGTGGAAGCAATTGTATACAAAGACAGAATTATTTCCTATTTCAGTAAAATTTACAAACAAGCCTCAGCTAGTTCTCTGTAGGATCATCATTCTAGTCATTTTCAGAGTATCTTGCATTGAATTTCTGTACGTAAAATTATCTTAAGTTACTGAGAAAGTTTTATCAGATTTTACTCTGTGGTAAAATTTGTATATCAAACCTTTTATAGGTTCCCTGATTTCAAAATAATAGTAATATCTCTTAAATAGAATGTTAGTTTTTATTCTTTTTTATTAAATGTGTTTGTTCTAGAGGTCATGCTTAATGATTTCCAAGAGTATATTTTTTGTATAGTTTTTGTGAGGCTGGGCATGGTGGCTCACGCCTGTAATCCACATCTATAATCCCAACACTTTGGGAGACAAAGGTGGGTGGATTGCTTGAGCCCAGGAGTTCGAGACCAGCCTGGACAAGATAGTGAGACCCTATCTCTACACAGAATGAAAAAATTAGCGCACATCTGGGGTCTCAGCTACACAGGATGCTGAGGTGGGAGGATTGCTTGAGCCTAGGAGGTTGAAGCTGCAGTGAGCAGGGTTCACACCACTGCACTCCAGGCTGGGCAACAGAGCAAGACACTGTAAGATCAATCAATCAATCAATCAGAGATATCTTGATGTATCATTTAAGAATCATGATCAGATAAATGTACTCATTCTTGTATTTCATCATCAATGTACTTATATTTCTTGTCTTTAACAGTTTGTTATACAAAGAAAAGCTACTGCATTCAGTGTTCAGATTAAGTTATAACAATGCAATGACTTTATCATGAGCCATTCTCCTAATTCCCACTAATTGACACACATTCAGTAGATAAATTGTTGGATACTCTCAAACTATTCTATTTTTATAAAGGAGAAAATTTTAGATAATTATTAAATATTCAAAAATATACAAATTGAAATAGACATAATTTTTTTTTGTTTTGTTTTTTCATAGTGACAGGGTCTTGCTCTGTGGCCCAGGCTGGAGTGCAGGGGCGTAATCATAGCTCACTATAACCATGAACTCCTGGGCTTAGATGATCTCTTGCTTCATCCTCCTGAGTTGCTGGGACCACAGGCATATGCCAGCATGCCCAGCTAATTTTTTTTATTTTTGTAGAGGTAGGGTCTAGATTATGTTGCCAGGCTGGTCTCAAACTCCTGGGCTCAAGTGATCCTACTGCCTCAGCCCATCAAAGTGCTGGGATGTCAAGCCATGAGCCCGGCAGACATCAATATTGAATGTAATGATGTGAGCCTGTAGATGAATTGGGAAATGCTGGCTAAAACACTGCTTTTTTCATAGGTCCTAAAACTAGCTCTTAAAGTATATTTAATAAGCGGTAGAAATAGTCATTATTAACAATGGAATAAAAGGTTTTTTTTTTTAAAGAGTCTCAATCTGTTGCCATCTCAAAAAAAAATAAAAAATAAAAAATTAGCTGGGTGTGGTAGCGCATGCCTGTGATACCAGCTACTCAGAAGGCTGAGGCAGGAGAACCACTTGAACCTGGGAGGCGGAGGTTGCAGTGAGCCGAGATCGCGCCATTGCACTCCAGCCTGGGCAACAAGAGTGAAACTCTGGCTCCAAAAAAAAAAAAAGTGATTTGGCAGTATGAGTTCAAGAACCACAAAATTGTACACACTCTCTGACCAATTTTCTTTTTCTTTTTCTTTTATTTTGAGATGGAGTTTCGCTCTTGTTGCCCAGGTTGGAGTGCAATGGTGCAATCTGGGCTCAACACAACGTCCACCTCCCGGGTTCAAACGATTTTCCTGCCTCAGCCCCCCGAGTAGCTGGGATTACAGGCATGTGCCACCGTGCTCAGCTAATTTTTGTATTTTTGGTAGAGACAGGGTTTCTCCATGTTGGTCAGGCTTGTCTTGAACTCCTGACCTCAGGTGATCCGCCCGCCTTGGCTTCCCAAAGTTTTGGGATTACAGGTATGAGCCACTGCGCCCGGTCCAAATCACTTTTTTTTTTTTTGAGACGGAGTTTCTCTCGTTGCCCAGGCTGGAGTGCAATGGCGCGATCTCGGCTCACCGCAGCCTCCGCCTCCCAGGTTCAAGCGGTTCTCCTGCCTTAGCCTCCCTAGTAGCTGGGATTACAGGCATGTGCCACCATGCCTGGCTAATTTTGTATTTTTAGTAGAGAGGGGTTTCTCCATGTTGGTCAGGCTGGTATCGAACTCCCAACCTCTGGTGATCCGCCTGCCTCGGCCTCCCAGAGTGCTGGGATTACAGGCATGAGCCACCGTGCCCGGCCCAAATCACTTTTCTAAAGCACTTTGAAGAACAATATGTCTTCAGCACTTAAGTATTTCTTTGACAAACTTAATGCTACAAGTATTATTCTCACACTAAGTAATTGTGATTAAGATTTTTCAGGCTCATAAATGAAAGAAAAAGAAATTGTATAGTAACTAGGCAAGGGTGGAATGAGAAAAGACTGGAGGCGTGCCACTCTTCCTACTCAGAATTTTTTTTATTTTGAGACAGAGTCTCTCTCTGCCACCCAGACTGGAGTGCAGTGGCGCGATCTCGGCTCACTGCAGCCTCCGCCTCCCGAGTTCAAGTGATTCTCCTGCCTC